>NC_000007.14:145518985-145670500 GCF_000001405.40 Homo sapiens | reverse complement strand
AAATGACCTCTAAATTTCACAATAATAAACACACTTATTATTTCTGTCGCTGTGAACATGGAATCAGAGAGCATCTCAACTGGGTCCTCTGACTCTGGGTTCTTTACAAGTAGGATTGCCAGATTGCAAAGAAAATATACAATATCCAATTAAATATGAATTTCAGGCAAACTGAATAATTTTTAGTGTATAACACAAATATTGCATACTTATACTTAAAAAATTATTGTTTATGTGAAAGTCAAATTTAACTGCACATGTGTTTAACTGATAATCTTATGAGGCTGCAATCAATTCGAGGTTTAAAGGGTAGTAAGTAGTGTTTCCCAGATTGTTCCTTGTGGGCTGTTGAATAGAGATCTTAGTTCCTCATGAGTTGTTGGCTGGAGACCTCTTTAAATTCCTTGTCTTTTAGGCCTTTCCATAGATCATCTAACAATCCAGAAACTTGCATTTTTTGGGGCAAACAAGCAAGAGAGCAGAAAATAATTTCTGGAAGGGACAGTGGACTAGCAAGATGAAATTGAAAGTTTTTTTATAACGTAATCATGGAAGTGGCATCTCATCATTTTGCCGTATTCTTTTGGCTACAAAACTATAACTTAATCATAGAAGTGGCATCTCATCACTTTGCCATATTCTTTTGGCTAGAAGACCTATGTCCAGCCCATACGCAAGGGGAAGAAATCACATGGGTAAAAAATACCAGGAGCTGAAGCATCACTGGGGCCATGTCAGGAGCGACCTACCACATCATTAATTTAATCTCTCACTGTATCCTTCTCTCTTCTCTCTCTCTCTCTCTGTATTTCTCTCTCTTTCTCTCTCTCTCGCACACACACACACACACACACACACACACACACACACATTTACAAAGAAAGCAACAATTAGGCCTTTTCTCCCACAATTCTACTTAAATTGTTTTGTCAAAATCACCAGCACTTTCCATGTTGCTCAACCCAAAGGTCAAGCCTCAGTCTTCATCTTTCTTGAACTGTCAGGAACATTTCAAATTATGGATTAAATAATTCCTCCTTGATACATTTTCCTCACTTGCTTTCCAAAACATCACATCCTATTTTCTCATTAGTCTCTCCTTAACCTTTTCTTCTATAATATCCTCTAACTCACCAACTTCAAATTTTGTAACACCCCAAGACAGTCATTGGTCCTGACCATTTCTACATTTATACATCTAGGCGAAACCTTGACACTTATTTATCTAACTGTTCAATATCTCTACTAGGATGTGGAATGGGAATCACAAGATAACAAATTCAAACCTGAACTGCTGATCTTCCTCCACTAAAAAGTGTTCTATCCATAGCCTTCCTTGTGTCAGTTAAAGACAATCCCATCCTTCAACTACTCACAAAAATCCAAAAAATTTTGATATGGCTCTTTGTTTCTGTATTAGTCTGTTCACATACTGCTGTGAAGACATACCTGAGAATGGGAAATTTATCAAGAAAAGAAGTGTAATTGTCTCACAGTTCCACAGGCTGTACAGGAGGCATGGCTAGGGAAGCCTCAGGAAACTTACAATCACGGCAGAAAGTGAAGGGGAAGCAAGCACATCTTCACATGGTGACAAGAGAGACAGCGCGAACAGGGAAGTGCTACACACTTTTAAACAACCAGATCTCATGAAAATTCACTATCACAAGAACAGTCAGGGGGAAATCCACCCCCATGACCTGATCGTCTCCCACCAGGTCCCTCCTCCAACACCTGATCATAATTCAACATGAGATTGGGGTGGGGACACAGAGCCAAACCATATCACTTTCTAACTCACAACTTTTCTCTGAGAAATTCAGTTATCTCTAACATTCAACTCCTTCAACACTGATGATCATAATTCAACATGAGATTTTTGTGGGGATCCAGAGCCAAACTACATCACTTTTTAACTCAAGTCTTATCTCTGTTAAACATGGGTGTCTCTTAACAAAATTTGGTTGTCAAAATGAAGGAAACGTCTGACCACCATTTCTCACCATCTTCTTCTACCACAACCTTGATCCAAGGGATGATTATCTCCAATGTATGTTGCTTTAATAGGCTTCTCACTGGTTATCACCTTTTTCCCTTCAGTCCATTATTAACACCGCAGTCAAAATAATTCCTGAAAAGTGGAAATCAGACCATGTTATGTCCCAAGTGTCTTACCTCACTAAGAGTAAAATCAACGGTCTTTACGATAGTTTACATTGCCTTGTGTGAGCCATCTTACCTCATCTCCAACCTGTCTCCAGCTGTCTATACTACTCCAGTCACACTGGTCACCCATTCATTCCTGGAACAAACCAAGCACATCCTTGTCATAGAGTTTTTCTACTGGATATTTTTCTGTCTGCTCTCCTTCCAGAAATCTACATGGCTAACCTCATCATTTCATACAATCTCTTAAGCATTTCCTTTTAAATGAGGCCTACAGAAACGACCAAATACAAAACAGCATCAGGCTTACCTCTACAACCCAGACTCCACCTTTTTTATTCTTATTTTATAAATTACAATATATTCTAGCATATAATTTAACCTGTTTTTTATTATGTTTATTGTCTGTCTCTGACTGCTATAATTAAAGCGTTGTGAAGGCATAATGTTTGTCTGTTTTTTAAACTAATGTTTCCCAAACACCTAAGAAGTGTCTGGCACATGGAATGTGTTTTATCAATATTTGTTAAACAAATGATGAATGAATAAATAAATGAATATTACATTTCTTTTTTATCCTATGAGATTTCAAACACACAAAGAGGAGACACTAGATCTTTAATTATTTGTATCCTTCGTGATACTTAACACAGCAATGTGAAAATGTCCACATCAAATTACAAAATCTTTAAGATGATGTATATTGACCTAAATTTCAAGCATTGCAGTATCATTCTTTTTTGTCTGCAATAATCCTATCAACTTCAAAGTTAGTTTATCAAAGTAGTTCTATAATAGGAAAGTTTGGGCTATCAAGTGTTTTTGGCATATCAAATGGGAAAAGCCAATTTAGAAAGCCATCCTAAAATAAGTGAATAAAATTTGAAATTCAAACTCATGAGTTATGAATTCAATTATTTAAGAAAGGAACACTTTTGATTTATATTTCATTTCCGTTATATTATCTAATGTCAGTCTTTGGTTTTATCACACCACTTTAGTTCAGGCATTACCTTGATTCAAATATATAATTCTCCATGTCAAAAAACCACAAACTTTAGCTTTGAAAAGAAAAACTTCCATCCAGAAGCAAGCCTAAATTAAAATGAAAATATTTTGACATATTTTGCATAGCACTTTCTGCCTCCCTCTCTCTCTCTTTTTTTTCTCTCTGGAATCCATTCATACCAAAGTTCCAATATGCTGAATTGTGTTACAGTATCTTAATTCTAGCACCCTCCCTTAAAGCTTAACTATATGTAGTAGAGAGACATGTTTGATGTCGGAATTGTGATACAACACGATTCTTCTCTGTCACCATTGTTTCACCCCATTCATTTTTGTGTGTGTGTCAGCATGTACATCCTGGTGATTTCATCCTTACCATGTCCTGGAGTCAAATAATTTCAATACTTTTTATCTAGTTCCTTCAAAGATAACACTGATTTACACTTAACTAATTTTTAAATGACGCGAAGTTGGGAAGGATAGCAAAACAGAGAAGACAGATAAAAATAGAAATACTATGAAATTTAATAGGGATATGAAGGTAAATTTCAAATGCGAGATGGCAAAGACTGATGTATGGAAAACATAACTTAGGGAATTTAGTTCACTGCATGTTTGGGTCAAAATATTAAATAAATGATACAAATAGAACTTAGATCACTTTGAAGATGGTATTACATATAAGAGGAGAAATAATTGTCACTCTTCTTGGTACTTCCTAGATCATATTTTAAATGTTTAGGCTTATAGGATTTTAGGAATTGATGGCAAATATAGAAAATACAGAAGAGAATAAATTAAGCGAGGTTGTTTGTAATGATGTAATTGAAAAATACTTGAAGAAATGAGAAAACTCATGAAAAAAGAATACTTGAAGGAAGAAAATGATCTCTAAAATCACTTAAATTTTTACAATATGAGGAAAAGAATAATGTATTTTAGGCTGGTCCAGAAAATAAAATTAGATTCAGTTATTGCAAGTTATACAAAAACAAATATGGTTTAGTATAAGGAGGCACTAGGTCCTCAACAATTAGAGTTGGAAATCTGTGGAATAAGCTTTACCATCAGTTGTTTGCATCTTTTGAGGTATTAATAAAAGTTTAGACTGTCATTTGTTTAGAGATAATTTTCTAATACATTGATAAATGGACTAGGTAGCCCCTTAAGAGCATTTAAACTCTAATGTACTCTGATGCCACTGTCTCATGTTGAACCCTTAACTTTAGCCATAATCCCCTAGAGCCTAAGTTTTATGCTCCTCAAAGACTGAACTCTATTCTTTTCCATTCACCGCGGCTTCATTTTTCTTGGCATCATCACCATTTTTTCCTTCTGCAAGTCCTTTTGAAAATTCACTTGCTTCTCCACTTAGCTTGGGCAAGATGATTAAAATTCAATCTGCTCTCACTAATTATGCTGAAATATTGTCTCTTTTAATTTTATTTGTTAGTGTTTTGCAATACCCATTGCCTGCACTCTAACTACAACAGTGCTGATATAAAAATCGGGGGTAAGAATAATTAAGACAGACTTTGCCAACAGATTTCTGGAAGATTTTAAAGACCACATGTTTTCCTTCTCAACTATGGAATGCAAACCATGTCAAAAAAGTTGAATCAGCCAAAATATCTTTCATAAACAAAAGAGCTTTTAGTAGCCTTTCACAAAGTCCAACCTCTTGCAACATAACTCTTGAGCCTCTATCTTCAGTGGTAGAAAAAAGGTAGAAGAAACTTAATTTAATAAGGCAGCTTGATGCTGCCAGCTATATCTCTGTGGTCCAAACTGCCTGTGCACTCTGTTCTATATCCCAGAAGGCAACACTTTTTCCAGAACCATGCCAAATCCTGACCTCCTAAATATATTAATTGGATAAGATAAAAACAAGAAACAGATATAATTCCAATTTTACAAAAGCCCAAAAGTATTCCAGCTGTGTTTGTTCTTAGGTTCATTGGCATGTTTCATTTTGAATTGCCTACATTTTTCTATAACTTAAGTATTTAAAAATGATAATTTGAAGACGTTTTTATCATTAAATGCTTCCTCACAGTAAATGAGAGAAGAAACTACTTTACAATATCTGGCCCTACCAAGTTCATTACTAAGGTTTCTTTGGCTGTAAACTTTTAAATATTAAATGCTTTACATATTATCTTATCTGCACCAATCTTGCCAGTCCCTAGACAGTGGTAAATAAACTTGCTTCTGTCTCTTTCCTACTTTGAGCTTGGGCACTCTGAAAAATACAGTTTTATAATGATACCGATTGGCTCCAATCACTCCAATATATTTTTATGCAAATCACCTTTGGCTCTAACTTTTCTCTGGGCTCTCAGTGAATGTGTTTGTGTGCCCCTCAATGTTATTGACGTCTTGTTAATTTTGCTTTGTTGTCACTGGATGTAAGCTTTGTTTCTTCTCTTCCTAATGGCGTCACTCACTCATACCTATTTTTTAAGAAAATTCGAGTGTATTCAAAAAGACTTCCTTCAACTGCTCTTCATTCCTCAGCAACAGGTATTTGTATCTCTGTTCTTCTAAGGAAAATACTTGTTTTTTTTTTTTTTTTTTTTTTTTTTAGTTCTTTAGACTGCAAAGATTTTCTTCTGTAAATTGTTCTACGATTCTATTATTTTTTATATTTTAAGTTCTAGGGTACATATGCACAACATGCAGGTTTGTTACACATGTATACATGTGCCATGTTGGCATGCTACACCCATTAACTCATCATTTACATTAGGTATGTCTCCTAATGCTATCCCTCATCCCTCCCCCCACCCCACGACAGGCTGGGTGTCCAAGCGTTCCCCACTGTGTCCAAGTGTTCTCATTGTTCAATTCCCACCTATGAGTGAGAACATGCGGTGTTTGGTTTTCTGTCCTTACAATAGGTTGTTCAGAATGATGGTTTCCAGCTTCATCCATGTCCCTACAAAGGACACGAACTTATCCTTTTTTATGGCTGCATAGTATTCCATGGTGTATATGTGCCACATTTTCTTAATCCAGTCTATCATTGATGGACATTGGGGTTGGTTCCAAGATTTTGCTATTGTGAATAGTGCCACAGTTAACATACTTGTGCATGTGTCTTGATAGCAGCATGATGTATAACCCTTTGGGTATATGCCCAGTAATGGGATGGCTGGGTCAAATGGCATTTCTAGTTCTAGATCCTTGAGGAATCGCCACACTGTCTTCCACAATGGTTGAACTAGTTTATAGTCCCACCAACAGTGTAAAAGTGATCCTATTTCTCCACATCCTCTCCAGCACCTGTTGTTTCCTGACTTTTTAATGATCACCATTCTAACTGGTGTGAGATAGTATCTCATTGGGGTTTTGATTTGTATTTCTCTGATGGCCAGTGATGATGAGCATTTTTTCATGTGTCTGTTGGCTGCATAAATGTCTTCTTTTGAGAAGTGTCTGTTCATATCCTTTGCCCACTTTTTGATGGGGTTGTTTGATTTTTTCTTGTAAATTTGTTAAAGTTCTTTGTAGATTCTGGATACTAGCCCTTTGTCAGATGGGTAGATTGCAAAAATTTTCTCCCATTCTGCAGGTCGCCTGTTCACTCTGATGGTAGTTTCTTTTCCTGTGTAGAAGCTCTTTAGTTTAATTAGATCCCATTTGTCAATTTTGGCATTTGTTGCCATTGCTTTTGGTGTTTTAGTCAGGAAGTCCTTGCCCATGCCTATGTCCTGAATGGTATTTCCTAGGTTTTCTTCTAGGGTTTTTATGGTTTTAGGTCTAACATTTAAGTCTTTAATCCATCTTGAATTAATTTTTGTATAAGATGTAAGGAAGGGATCCAGTTTCAGCTTTCTACATATGGCTAGCCAGTTTTCCCAGCACCATTTATTAAATTGGGAATCCTTTCCCCATTGCTTGTTTTTGTCAGATTTGTCAAAGATCAGATGGTTGTAGATGTGTGGTATTATTTCCGGGGGCTCTGTCCTCTTCCATTGGTCTATATCTCTGTTTTGATAGCAGTACCATGCTGTTTTGTTTACTGTAGCCTTGTAGTATAGTTTGAAGTCAGGTAGTGTGATGCCTCTAGCTGTGTTCTTTTGGCTTAGGATTGTCTTGGCAATGCGGGCTCTTTTTTGGTTCCATATGAACTTTATAGTTTTTTCCAATTCTGTGAAGAAAGTCATTGGTAGCTTCATGGGGATGGGATTGAATTTATAAATTACCTTGGGCAATATGGTCATTTTCACAATATTGATTCTTCCTATCCATGAGCGTGGAATGTTAATCCATTTGTTTGTGTCCTCTTTTATTTAGTTGAGTAGTGGTTTGTAGCTCTCCTTGAAGAGGTCCTTCACAGCCCTTATAAGTTGGATTCCTAGGTATTCTATTCTCTTTGAAGCAATTGTGAATGGAAGTTCACTCATGATTTGGCTCTATGTCTGTTTTTGGTGTATAGGAATGCTTGGGATTTTTTGCACATGATTTTGTATCCTGAGACTTTGCTGAAGTTGCTTATCAACTCAAGGAGATTTGGGGCTGAGATGATGGGGTTTTCTAAATATACATTCATGTCATCTGCAAACAGGGATAATTCAACTTCCTCTTTTCCTAATTGAATACTCTTTATTTATTTCTCTTGCCTGATTGTCCTCGCCAGAACTTCCAACACTATGTTGAATAGGAGTGGTGAGACAGGGCATCCCTGTCTTCTGCCAGTTTTCAAAGGGAATGCTTCCAGTTTTTGCCCATTCACTATGATATTGGCTGTGGGTTTGTCATAAATAGCTCTTATTATTTTGAAATATGTCCCATCAATACCTAGTTTATTGAAAGTTTTTAGCATGAAGGGCTGTTGAATTTTGTTGAAGGCCTTTTCTGCATCTGTTGACATAATCATGTGGTTTCTGTCTTTGGTTCTGTTTATATGATGGATTAGGTTTATTGATTTGCATATGTTGAACCAACCTTGCATCCCAAGGATGAAGCCAACTTGATCATTGTGGATAAGCTTTTTGATGTGCTGCTGGATTCGGTTTGCCAGTATTTTATTGAGGATTTTTGCATTGATGTTCACCAGGGATATTGGTTTAAAATTATCTTTTTTGTTGTGTCTCTGCCAGGCTTTGGTATCAGGATGATGTTGGCCTCATAAAATGAGTTAGGGAGGATTCCCTCTTTTTCTATTGATTGGAATAGTTTCAGAAGGAATGGTACCAGCTCCTCTTTGTAGCTCTGGTAGAATTCGGCTGTGAATCCATCTGGTCCTGGACTTTTTTTGGTTGGTAGGCTATTAATTATTGCCTCAATTTCAGAGCCTGTTATTGGTCTGTTGAGAGATTCAACTTCTTCCTGGTTTAGTTTTGGGAGGGTGTATGTGTAGAGGAATTTACCCATTTCTTCTAGATTTTCTAGTTTATTTGCATAGAGATGTTTATAGTATTGTCTGATGGTAGTTTGTATTTCTGTGGGATTGGTGGTGACATCCCCTTTATCATTTTTTGTTGCGTCTATTTGATTCTTCTCTCTTTTCTTCTTCATTAGTCTTGCTAGCGGTCTATCAGTTTTGTTGATCTTTTCAAAAAATCAGCCCCTGGATTCATTGATTTTTTTTAATTTTTTTTATTATACTTTAAGTTTTAGGGTACATATGCACAACATGCAGGTTAGTTACATATGTATTCACTGATTTTTTGAAGGGTTTTTTTGTGTCTCTCTCTCCTTCAGTTCTGCTCTGATCTTAGTTATTTCTTGCCTTCTGCTAGCTTTTGAATGTGTTTGCACTTGCTTCTATAGTTCTTTTAATTGTGATGTTAGGGTGTCAATTTTAGATCTTTCCTGCTTTCTCTTGTGGGCATTTAGTGCTATAAATTTCCCTCTACACACTGCTTTAAATATGTCCAGATATTCTAGTATGTTGTGTCTTTGTTCTCATTGGTTTCAAAGAACATCTTTATTGCTGCCTTCATTTCATCATGTATCTAGTAGTCATTCAGGAGCAGGTTGTTCAGCTTCCATGTAGTTGAGTGGTTTTGAGTGAGTTTCTTAATCCTGAGTTCTAGTTTGATTGCACTGTGTTCTAAGAGATAGTTTGTTATAATTTCTGTTCTTTTACATTTGCTGAGGAGTGCTTAACTTCCAACTATGTGGTCAGTTTTGGAATAAGTGTGATGTGGTGCTAAGAAGAATGTATATTTTGTTGATTTGGGGTGGAGAGTTCTGTAGATGTCTATTAGGTCTGCTTGGTGCAGAGCTGAGTTCAATTCCTGGATATCCTTGTTAACTTTCTGTCTCATTGATCTGTCTAATGTTGACAGTGGGGTGTTAAAGTCTTCCATTATTATTGTGTGGGAGTCTAAGTCTCTTTGTAGGTCTCTAAGGACTTGCTTTATGAATCTGTGTGCTCCTGTATTGGGTGTATATAGGATAGTTAGGTCTTCTTGTTGAATTGATCCCTTTACCATTATGTAACGGCCTTCTTTGTCTCTTTTGATCTTTGTTGGTTTAAAGTCTGTTTTATCAGAGACTAGGACTGCAAACTCTGCTTTTTTTTTTTGTTTTCCATTTGCTTTGTAGATCTTCCTCCATCCCTTTATTTTGAGCCTATGTGTGTCACTGCACGTGAGAAGGGTCTCCTGAATATGACACACTGATGGGTCTTGACTCTTTATCCAATTTGCCAGTCTGTGTCTTTTAACTGGAGTGTTTATCCCATTTACATTTAAGGTTAATATTGTTATGTGTGATTTTGATCCTGTCATTATGATGTTAGCTGGTTATTTTGCTTGTTAGTTGATGCAGTTTCTTCCTAGCCTCAATGGTCTTTACAATTTGGCATGTTTTTGCAATGTCTGGTACTGGTTGTTCTTTCCATGTTTAGTGCTTCCTTCAGTAGCTCTTGTAAGGCATGAAATTCTGGGTTGAAAATTCTTTCTTTAAGAATGTTGAATATTGGCCTCCACTCCCTTCTGGCTTGTAGAGTTTCTGCCGAGAGATCTGCTGTTAGTCTGATGGGCTTCCCTTTGTGGGTAACCCGACCTTTCTCTCTGGCTGCCCTTAACATTTTTTCCTTCATTTCAAATTTGGTGAATTTGACAATTATGTGTCTTGGAGTTGCTCTTTTCGAGGAGTATCTTTGTGGTCTTCTCTGTATTTCCTGAATCTGAATGTTGGCCTGCCTTGCTAGGTTGGGGAAGTTCTCCTGGATAATACCCTGAAGAGTGTTTTCCAACTTGGTTCCATTCTCCCCGTCACTTTTAGGTACACCAATTAGACATAGATTTGGTCTTTTCACGTAGTCCCATATTTCTTGGAGGCTTTGTTCATTTCTTTTTACTCTTTTTTCTCTAAACTTCTCTTCTCACTTCATTTCATTCATTTGATCTTCAATCACTGATACCCTTTCTTCCACTTGATCAAATTGGCTACTGAACCTTGTGCATTCATCACGTAGTTCTTGTGCCATGGTTTTCAGCTCCATCAGGTCATTTAAGGACTTCTCTACACTGTTTATTCTAGTTAGCCATTCGTCTAATCTGTTTTCAAGGTTTTTAGCTTCTTTGTCATGGGTTCAAACATCCTCCTTTAGCTTGGAGAAGTTTGTTATTACCAATCGTCTGAAACCTTCTTCTCTCAACTTGTCAAAGTCATTCTCCATCCAGCTTTGTTCCGTTGCTGGCAAGGAGATGTGTTCCTTTGGAGGAGAAGAGGCGCTTTGATTTTTAGAATTTTCAGCTTTTCTGCTCTGGCTTCTCCCCATCTTTGTGGTTTTATCTACCTTTGGTCTTCGATGATGGTGACGTACAGATGGGGTTTTGGTGTGGATGTCCTTTCTGTTTGTTAGTTTTCCTTTTAACAGTCAGGACCCTCAGCTGTGGGTCTGTTAGAGTTTGCTGGAGGTCCACTCCAGACCTGTTTGCCTGGGTATCACCAGCGGAGTCTGCAGAACAGCAAATATTACAGAATGGCAAATGTTGCTGTCTGATCCTTCTTCTGGAAGCTTCGTCTCAGAGGGGCACCTGGCTGTATGAGGTGTCAGTTGGCCCCTATTGGGAGGTGTCTCCCAGTTAGGCTACTTGGGGGTCAGGGACCCACTTGAGGAGGCAGTCTGTCCGTTCTCAGATCTCAAACTCCGTACTGGGAGAAGCACTACTCTCTTCAAAGCTCAGTTGGAAATACAGCAATCATCCATCTTCTGTATCGCTCATGCTGGGAGCTGCAGACTGGAGCTCTTCCTATTCGGCCATCTTGGAATCTCTCTCTCTGATTCTATTCTATGGTAAATCCCTGGATTAGGTCATTAGAAATGCCGATAATGAGAAGTTCAACTTTTTTTTTTTTTTTTTTTTTTGAGACGGAGTCTCCCTCTGTTGCCCAGGCTGGAGTGCAGTGGCACAATCTTGGCTCACTGCAACCTCCACCTCCCGGGTTCAAGTGATTTGTCTGTCTCAGACTCCAGATTAGCTGGGACTACAGGTGCTTGCCACCACACCCAGCTAATTTTTGTAGTATTAGTAGAGACGGGGTTTCACCATATTGACCAGGCTGGTCTGGAAATCCTGACCTCTTGATCTGCCCACCTTAGCCTCCCAAAATGCTGGGATTACAGGTGTGAGCCACCACGCCCAGCCTGTTTTTTTTGTTTTGTTTTGTTTTTGTTTTTGTTGTGTTTTTTTCTTCCTAGTTATTTGCCCTTAAAATTTAAAAACAGTTTAACTCTTGCTTTTATTCAAGTCTATATTCTGTGTCTTGGTTCTACCGATTTTCTCCATTGTATTCTTCCCTGACTAGTTATGAGGTAGGAAATACATTTTCTGACTTGTCTTTATTGTAGTACTATAAGGAACACAGGCTATGTTGTTAAATTATCTGCTTCACTTCCAACTCTACCTCATTCTATGTGTTCCCAGGAACTTTAATTCATGAGGCATCCTTTTCTCACTTGTAAAAAAGAGATAGTAGTCTTTTCAGGATTAAATGAATACAGGTAGCAAACTTAAAGACATCTGGAACATATTGAGAGTGTGCTAGCCATTGCTAACTTCATTAGTGCTCATCAAAATGAGTTTATATTAAATCTTATAAAAAATTTGATGTGTGTAATTGTAATTCTTCATTGTTGATTCCAAAATGTAAAATCTAGGGAAAAATGCAAATAATGAGAAATTCGGCTTTTTTATCCTAGTTATTTGCCCTTAAAGATTATAATGCCTGGCTGTAGAAAATAAATATATTCATTAGAAAAATTCTGTTGTTGAGTATATACAGTAGTGAATAATATTTGAACGTTGATAAAGATTTCTAAATATTAACTAGGAGGTAAAATATCAAAGAGTTGCTCACTTTCTGGACATCTAGCTGTTCATAACTTTAATGTTTTTCTAGGTCCCAATAAATAATTTAAACTATAGCTGGGTAAATGCACAGGAAATAAAAAGTGGGATGTCTAAGTAAAGTTTTAAAAATTAATATAATAGGTAAAGTATTTTCTACAACTTTTAAGGTAAAAATCTAAACATTAAACACATATACACATATGTAGATATGTAAATATACATGTTTATTTTTTACTTATCATTTACAAAATAAAATAAATGAATTACACTTTTTAAATTATTTTCAAATGCACTATAAACTGTGAAATTTATATAACTTAAAATTGTTAAGAAATAAAACTTAAATGAACATGCATATTTTCATGTTGTCTATCTTCAATTTTATTAATTTCCTAAGGCAATTTTAATCTTTTAAACTTTAGGTAATTTAGCTACACTTTAAGTTTTGTCTATGTATTTGTGTTTTGTTGTTAATATTATCATCTTTAATTTAAGTAATCTAATCCATGTGTATTCTATTGGAAATGCAGGTTTGAATGATACTAATTTTTTGAAATATGTTCATCTTTATGTTATTATTTCCCAGTACTTCAAGTAGGTATCATTTTTCTTATTTTATACAGTCAATGTTTAGATTTATCCACCATTGCCTTTTGCCCCATTTCACCTCATATTTTACTTCACATTTATTTTTGAAATCATTTTACTTCCTGAAGCGCTTCTTTTTGAGAATTTTAATTTGTAAGCCTCTACATATATAACTCTCTGAAGTTTTGTTGTATGTATTGTTTGAGAATATCATTATTTTACACTTATTCTTAAAAAATTGATTTTGCTGGCTTGAAAGCTATCTTCTGCCAGCACGATGTACAGGTATGACTCTACCTCTCTGTTACTTCATTTGTTGCCATTGCAAAATCAACTGCCTGTCTATAATTGTCAGTTCTCTGTAGTGAATCTACCTTTTCTCTGTAGTCACTTTGATCTTCTTATTTGTTTTTGGTGATCTGAAGTTTTATTACCAACTCTCTAGATATATGTCACTTTTCTTTACGTGTTAAGGATGTTTAACCTACTTTTTTTTCGGAGAATATCTGTTCATATCTTTATTTTTAATAGGTGTTTATTTTTACTTCTTGATTTTTTGAAATTTATTTATATTTTATGGAAGTACATGCTTTCTCTTACATAAGTCCCAAATTTTTGTATTAGTTTTCTTTTTTTTTTTTTTTTTTTACTTTCTACATTTTCCAGAAGGCATGAAAATGTGGAACTGAATAAAAAAAGAAAACTAAAAATTTTCTCCTTTATTATAAGAAAAATGCACATTAAACTACATAGTATTTTTCATCTACTTCACTGTAATACAGAAGTTGGATGATGCATTCTGTTTACAAGACTGAATGGAAACAAAAACATACTTACATTGCTGGTAGGAGTGGAAAGGACAGTATCCCAAATGGTTGGAAATTGGCAATATGTAGCAGAATCAGTTGTGGCCATAACTTGATCTACACATCAGTCAACTAATATTACAACGATGCTGCTTAACAATAAGAATGCAAAACTTAGCAATTTAAAGCAATGAACATTTATTTTTCTCATTTATTTATTTATTTTTCTCACAGTATGTGCATTGGCTGTGGCTTTTACATCTTTAAGCTGTTGATTTTCTCAGTTTAGCACAGGCTGTATATTGAGTTTATATCTGCTCTATGAGTGCTTCAGTTTTCATTAACTAAAACCTACCCAAGGCATATTCTCATGGAGAATCACCAATCACAGGTGACAAGCTAAATTATGTAATTCCATTTAAAGCTTCTGCTTACATAATCTCTGCTCACATTCCATTGATCAAAGCAAATCACAGGGCTAGTCCCAAAGGAACAGAGGCAGGGAAGTATACTCCGATCCAAGGAAAAAGAGAGAGGGAGAGATGAACGAATGTTTGCTGAATACAATCCAGTTTATCAAAGTATGCCCTCTTGTTCACACATATTCACCTTCTTCCAGCATGAAAAATTCTAGGTCTGGGAAAGGTCAGCTTTGGGCATCTTGTAGTGCCAAGAAGCAAGTAATTGCTCTAAGACTACTGCATTTATAATAAAAGGATGTAGAAATCAGCATGGAAGAGTTCTGCCTGGGCCTCCAGATGTGATGCAACACCAATTGTAATTTTTTTCCAGTCCAATATGTAATCTGAATACAATCAAGACAGATGTAACTTCCAGTTTTCAGGAAATATAGAGGATAAAAGAACAAGTTAAATGACAAAAATGAAGAAACCAGCAGACGCAAGAATTTGTTACATGTTATAAGAAAATGAATCTGTATTCTTCAAAAAGTCAATGTTATTTGAAAGAATTAAGTGCTTCTAGATTTAAAAGTTGTAGCAACCAAATGCAATGTGGATTCTTGTTGGTGTAGGGACAATATAAACTAATTTGGGTGACAATGTAATAGAATTGGAAATTAATTATTAGTCAATATTGGCAAATTACTATCAATTTGTAAATATATAGAAACAGTATTGTAATGGTGTAGAAGACAATTATATTCTTAGTAAATACAGGCCAAGAAATTTAGAGTTGAAGTTTCATGATGTCTTCAAATTATTTTTAAATGATTCTGTATATATTTATAGAGAGAAAGTGAGATGAAAAATAGAGGCACATATAGTTAATACTTCTTTTTTTTTTTTTTTTTTTTTTTTTTGAGACGGAGTTTCGCTCTGTCGCCCAGGCTGGAGTGCAGTGGCGCGATCTCGACTCACTGCAAGCTCCGCCTCCCGGGTTCACGCCATTCTCCTGCCTCAGCCTCCCGTGTAGCTGGGACTACAGGCGTGCGCCACCATGCCCGGCTAATTTTTGTATTTTTAGTAGAGACGGGGTTTCACCGTGTTAGCCAGGATGGTCTCGATCTCCTGACCTCGTGATCCGCCCGTCTCGGCCTCCCAAAGTGCTGTAGTTAATACTTCTTAAATCTAGGTGGAGGAAATACTAATGTTATTATAATCAGTCTTTCTCCTCTTTTCTCCACTTTTGAAATATTTCAAATAAAAATTGAGGGAATAAAAAAATTAAAATATATCCGGCCTGATACAAACTGTCTCAAGCATTTCTATGTACCTTCCCTGATTGTGTATACAGAATCTTCAGGATTTAAGACAACTTGGGCCTGGTTTAGACTGTGCTTCTGATGGAGAGGTGTTCTACTCTACTGGAAATGTGTTTAAAAATATATAGAATGTTTGCATCATGATAAAACGTCTTAGTACATGTCCTTAGGGTCTGGCTAATACATCACACTTTGAAAAGAATACTAATAAAATTTGTATTCCTTTTTCTTCCATAATTTATGCCTGTAAAATCATGATTATTTATAGGAATATTGATCTACTTAGTTTTCTAAATTGTCTAATTAAACCTGTCTTACTTGCTTTTTCAAAAAATTCTTTACCAGGAAAAATAGAGCTTTTCTCCTAATTCTGTAGGGAAATGAGTAATCTCACAGTGTCAGTCCTTCCTGCTATTTTTCAGGGTTTTCTTTTTCTGTATGTTAATTTTTTCTGAATGAGTTTTTTGCTTCAAGAAAATAATTACTAGAATGTCCATAAATAATAGCCTTTTCATCTTTCACCTTCTTATTTCTTCGCATTTGTTTGTTCCCAAAAGATACTTAAAGACTGAGCATGATCTGGGTTCCTGCCACGTATATTAATTAATAGATAATTAAAAATGTGTACTTCAAAATATAGACTAATTTATTTATCATCATTGCCAAATATGCAAAATATCAAAAAATTGTATATACACACAAATCCTAAATATTTTTTTAAAACTGCTTTACTTACTGTGAAATTAAATTAAATTACAGTTCGATCCAAAAATTGCCCTTAATTCATTTCTGTCATTAAAAGCATTAAAATACATTGCATGTATTTTATCATCATCACTAAAATTAAAGTTTATAACAGAATAAACTAATAAAAAGGAAAAAACAAATACTAGTCTCAAAAACAAAACAAAATATGTACTTGAATATGTGACTGAATGAAATATACAAATGAGTTTTGGAATATAAGTAACAATTTCAATGCTTTGCAATTTATGTATACAATTTACCCAGTAAATTCTAAGAACTCTCTATAGCCTAATCTAATATAAAATAAATGGAAATATATATTTAAGGGCATGCAGTACATTAATACTAAATATCAATATAATTAGATACAGTTACTTCAAATACGTACTTAAAATTATTTTACACATCATTTAAAAACAAATTTTTGAGAAGAGGAAAAAGAAGTAGGAGGAAGGCCGGGTGTGGTGGCTCACGCCTATAAACCCAGCACTTTGGGAGGCCAAGGTGGGTGGATCACGAGGTCAGGAGATCGAGACTATCCTGGCTAACACGGTGAAACCCTGTCTCTACTAAAAAAATACAGAAAATCAGCCGTGATGATGGGCGCCTGTAGTCCCATCTACTCGGGAGGCTGAGGCAGGAGAATGGCGTGAACCCGGGAGGCAGAGCTTGCAGTGAGCCGAGATGCGCCACTGCACTCCAGCCTGGGCGACAGAGAGAGACTCGGAGTCTCAAAAAAAAAAAAAAAAAGAAAAAAGAAAAGAAAAAAGAAGCAGGGGCAAGAGAAAGGAGAGAAGAATAAGAAAGAAAATATGCACATAGACCTCCTTGTGGATGTTGTATGTACTGCATAGGTTGCCAAGGACAAATTTTCCCTTCATGTTATCTCCTGCATGCTGGGTAATTCTGTGCAAAAAGCAGCTGATACTGTAAAAAATTGGAAATTTTTGTCTCAATTTTTTAGAAATTTCTGGAGCATAGACTGTAATAGATTTGATCAATCTGTTGATATTGCACTGCAAGATTGAAAGATTAATAAAGTCATATTTGGAAAGGCATCTGAGTTCCATGAAAGGTATGGAACATAATAAATATTGCCAAGCACTCTGGCTTGGATTTCAGTAACAAGTAGAAGTGGTAAATTTCCTTTAAATTCATCTATTAATGCTAAAATCATATATTCTTCTTTAAAATATGTTTTATTAATAAAGAAGCAAAAGCCAAATGCTTGCAAGTGAAATAGATGTGTTAATATCCATCTAAGCTGATACATCTATTCTTTAATTCCAATTTTAAAAATTTGTCTGTATATATTAAACAGCAAGTATTATCAAAGTTCAAAGAAAAAACTAAAAAATACCAACTATTTTTCATTGTTGAAAGAATATTAAAATCTAACTAAACCTCTAAATTTGAGAGTTGTAAACACAAGATCCAAAGAAATAAAACTGGAACACAGCCATATGATTAGAAACAGAAATGGAACAAGTATTGTTTCAGCCGTGGTCTCTTCATTTGGGTAATAGATAACAGCGACTACTATGAGCTGCACACACTGCTAGGGATACACAAACGATCCTGCACTCAAAATGCCACAGTGTAGAGAGTGAATTTCTTTAGAAATAATTATGCCAAAGTGCAGTAATTATTGTAGTTAAGTATGTTTGGTTGAAGCACCACTTTACACGTGTGTTAGTTTTGTCTGGAGAATGAATATAATATCCTAGATCTCTTTTGAGAGGCTTCATCAATGCAACTACACCTTGAAAAAAGAAAAGTCATTAAGTGATGATGGAAAGACTTTCTAGACAGGAAAAAGAGTACGAGACAGGCGGTGTCCCTGATAGTACAAGTTGTACTCGGGGAATATTAGTATTAATACTTAAAAGTACACAGGAGGAAGGCTGAACTTGAGATCAGATGAGGCCGAATTACAAAGGTTTTTGAATGTGATGATGAAGAGATAGTTTTTGATTTTGTGCACAATGGAAAGTCACAAGACTTATGCACAGAAGGATAAGAGGATCAAGTGTGTAATTTGGAAAGACATCTTTAGTAACAAGAAAAAGAACTGGTTAAAAGACATATTAGAATGTTATCTATTTATGAAGAGAAATGCTAATGTAGATCTTCATTAGAGCAATAAGGTTGAGATTTAAGACATAAGCATTGAGAAACAAGTTGGAGGAAGAAAAGTAACAAACTGTTCATATAAATGAGAGGGAAGAAGTATCACAGTATTTTTAGGATTGACCAGATGAATAACAGAGTGAAGTTTCGACAGAAAATTCATATGTTTAGTATTGTATACTGTGTTTGAAATTTCTGAGTCACATTTATTTGCGGAAGTCTGATAGGAAGCTAATTATAGACATTTAGGACACAGGAGGAAGGTCTGAGCTGCAGGCATATATTGGGAAGAAGTTAGAATATAATTAGAGATGAAGATCCCTTGAAGAAAGGAAGAGGGGAAGGAAGGAGGAAAGACAAAAAGAAAGAGAAAAGAGATAATAGAGCTACGTTAAAAATTTTTCTACAACTTAAAGTATAGAAAAATACAATTTAATTGAAATTCAGTTTTATTTAAATCTACAAAACTATGTTTTCCAAATTAAAACCTATGGCTAAGTCTGCCTTCCTATCTTGTCATAGAGCTAACAAAGGGATACTTATGGTATTATGTTACATATCTGGAAAAAAACATAATGTAAACTGAGTATACTAAAAAAATAGACTTAACATATTTTACTTTTTAATTAGCTTGTTAAATAATAATGCTCATTTCATCCACATTTCTCTCAAGGAATACCCTTTCTGGACAACAGTAAATGCATTTTGTTATAATAGAAAGAAAAAAAAAACACCTCTTAGAAAGGGAAGATGGTTAGTGTTAGAATGACAGTCTGATTCACCACCCAACAAAAAAAAAAATGATTTTTTTCTCATCAAAATACAGTCTTTCATTACTCAGTCATTTACTACAAGGTATCTTTTTTGGTAGAGCACATGTCAAAAACTCATTAAAATGAATGAACAAATATAACAAGATTGTCACATCAGATATTCTCTTCTCCATGAGTACCCCAAATGAAAAACTTCAAGAAGAAAGTTGCAGTATATATCTATAAATATTTCTAAGTTAAAAAAAAACTCTTCTATTCCTAAACCATGCCATAGTTGACATAAAAAATAAAGTCCAATGTTTTATCTATTTCGAATGAAAACTTTTGCTTAACTTTTCTCTGTAAATTTTGCTTTAATTTCTTAGGTACAAATAATCACTTTCCCCATACGAATCTTCTGAAGGAATTCTTATAAAATTAATCTGAAAATTACAGACATAAAAAGCTAATGAAATTAAAGCAATTTCCTAATACTCAGGATTATTACTCATTGTTAAAATGATAGGATGATAATGATAAAATGAACCTCCATGAAAAATATTTAAATGCATATTATGAAGAGGTGGGGTAAGACTCATTGTCACATCTTACAAGATGCAACAAGATGCAGCTTTCGCCAATTTCCTCTACCTTTTTTTTTTTAATATACTTTAAGTTCTGGGGTACATGTGTAGAACGTGTAGTTTTGTTACATAGGTATACGCGTGCCATGGTGGTTTGCTGCACCCCTCAACCCATCACCTATATTAGGTATTTCTCCTAATGCTATCCCTCTCCTAGCCCCCTATCCTCCGACACGCCCCGGTGTGTGATGTTCCCCACCCTGTGTCCATGTGTTCTCATTGTTCAACTCCCACTTATGAGTGAGAACGTGCAGTATTTGGTTTTCTGTTCTTGTGTTAGTTTGCTGAGAATGATGGTTTCCAGCTTCATCCATGTCCATGCAAAGGACATGAACTCATCCATTTTTTATGGCTGCACAGTATTCCATGGTGTATATGTGGGCAAAGGATATGAACAGACACTTTCCTCTAACTTGTAAGAGCAACTCAAGCAGAATTTATCAACGGGAGCCTATGGATGTAGTTTTATATACCTGGTTGCCCTACTTTTCCACTAGACTTTAAGTAAAATGGAAGAAGAAAGTATATTGTGTTCCTAACACCCAGCACATTACCACAGCTGATAGTACTGAGTCCACACACACTGGTTGAATGAATGCAGGGACTTACGAAGCAGCTTTGAGACTTGGGGAATCTCAGTATTCTCTCTGTACTACAATTACTAATTTGTCAAGCAAGGAAGTAGGATTTTAAAAAATGGGAAAGCATCTCCCTGTACTTCACAGAAATTTAATTATAATTCTAATCATGAAATCTTGATTCTTAGAGAAAATTTTAATATGCAAATTTAAAGAAAATTAGTCTAAATTTCCTTCTTCATAGGAAGTTAAATCTGTGAAGAATGAGAGTTAGGAGAAAAATAACTACTACTTAATGGAATTATGGTTGGTATTGCATGGACTTTATAAATTCTATTGTGTTATAAGACTAGCCAATGTTAGCTATGTGATAGTAGGCATATTAAATATATACTTAATATATTATCTATTTCTATCTTTGTGTCTCTATGAAGTTGTTATGGATGAGAAAACTGAGCCACTTGGACATTAAACAACCTGCCTGAGGTTACCCAACTGGAAACATTAATATGCAAAATAACAATGGTATCCCAGGCTGTATTTTTTTATTCTTAAAAATATTACAATAAATTATAGGAAAAAAAGGTTATTCTTTACCATGTGTTACTTTTTATGGGGGAGGAGGAATTTTGATTAAATTTTCTATGAATAGTTAGATTTGAGTGTTAACATTCTGTGAGTTCGAGAAATTCTAAAATAAATGTCTCCATTTAGGTGGATTTAGCAGCTAAGGGGTTTAATTGTCTCAGCTGTCAAGACTTAAATTTCAGCTTTCTGATTTTGGACCTTAAACGTGGATATGTTCCTGGTTTTGTTGAGGAGCAATGAAGTTCCTGGTACACGATCTGAGTGTGAAAGTCGGATATTCTACCTGGTGTATTGTTGACAATAACACTAGATATATTGAACAAAGAATTTGATTGTAATGGCTACAGAGGAGCAACATACTTTTTCTTTTCATTTCTTGAGTCACATTTAATTTTATTGTATTGTTTTTTCATTTGTTGTCCTCTGATTTTTTCCATCTGCCCTAATTTTAATTATTGTATTTCTTTTCCATTTTTCAATTCCTTATTTTTCATATCCATTTTATACTTTAGCTCAACAAATTTTTTGGTTTTTTTCTACTTTTATTATTATTCTCTTTTTAAAATTTTATCCTTAGCATTTCTCAATTTTTCTTTTCTTTATTTTTTTCACTTATTTACATGCATATATCTACTTTTTATGGAAAAAAAATCTCTATTTGAGACATTTTTAAATATTGCATAAGTAAAAACTCTAAAGAAAATAAAGTGCAATTTGAGCATATAAACATTCATATCTGAAGAAAAACATAAAAAGGTAGCACATACGACAATAATTTTCTTAATAAAGTGCAGCTGTTTACAAATAGAAAAGAAATAACTTTAACTCTGTATGATATGGTAATCAACATATGAATAAGGTGCTCACAGAAAAAAATTACAAAAAAAGAAATACTCTACCAAGCTTTGATCTGTGCCTGTGAGTCAGGCAATGTTTCAAATCTCTGCTTGTGTTAGCTTATCTAGTCCCTGCAACAGCCAATGTAATGAAGACATATATTTTTTAAATGTGCCATAAAACAACAAATAGTAACAACCAATGCACTTGAACTTTTAAGGAAAACAGATGGAATCATGTTACAGGAGAATCCAAAGCAGATGGGACGAAGGAAAAAAGAAGCAGAATATGCAAAGGAGACACAAGCAATTTCAGAGCAGGAGGACAACCTTAGCTCTTTGGGATGAAAATGAAGAACAGCTGAGACAGTCACGCCTCTTCTCTTAAAAATAGCTAATAAACATATGAAACCATATCAAATTTTCATCATACTTGGAGAAATCTAAAGTAAAACTAGATGCCATTTATCACCTCCTAAATTGTTGACATTGAAAAAATATGTTTAATAGTGTTAGAGAGAATTCATTCATTCACAGTACTAATGTAAATTGGCACACACTTTAGAGAGCTATTTAATGATATGGATCTAAAATGAGTGTTGTGTTCTTTACCTTGGCCAATTACTTTAATTGAACATTATAAACAGATTTAAAGAAGTTTGCAAAGAACCAGACATGAGTTAGTCACTTGTAAATTTTATATAGTAGTAAAAAATATATTTAAAAATATTATTTACCATAGGGGACTAGTTAAACAAATGATGGAGAATCCATCTAATAAGATCTGTTTCTTGCATATCATTCAAGCTTAATAATAGAATACTGTCATTTCCAGATAGCCATCTTATTTTATTTTTGAGAAATTGTCATGTTAAAATTTATAATTTCTAACATGCACAGATACTAAGCATTGAAAAAGAGGTAGGAATATCGGAACAATTCTAACGGTTTTTCATCCCTTGCTCAGAAATGACAGAAAATGTTGTGATAATAATAACAAGGCTAAGAACATATATGGAGTTATGCCATACTTATGCCATCATTAATTTATATAATACTTTAACAATATTCTGATGTTGGTACATGCATTCTTAACTGTGTCATAGAGTAAAAAATGTGGCTATTTAGTATAATATCAATTGTGTGTAAATTGGATGGAACTGGATTAATAGAGAAATAAAAACAGTTGAAAATACAAAAAGAAAACCCAAAGTCTTCATCATAGACAAGAAAAATCTCCACTCCATATTCAGCAAACATAAATGTAAATGGCAAAGTAAAACAGGAAGTTCTTTAGCAACCTTCGAGAAAGTAAATAAAATAAAGAATACCTGGGGCAGCTGGAATATACAAATATATATATACACACACATACACACACACATACACATATACACATATATACATATACATACACATATATATGTATATATGTGTATATATATACACACACACATCTGTATCTTACAGATTAAAATCTTGTGAGCCCCTTACCAGTCAGGTAGAACTCATGTCCCTGAGAACTTTCCTAACTTTTATAGCAATAGGGCTTAAAATAGGTAAAAAATAGCTGTGAAAAAGAGTGAGCTTGACATTCCATATATAGGAAGTTGACTTTATGACATTATTCCCTATCCATAGTCAAATTATGCAAAGTGTTTAATCCCAGGCAAAGAACCTGAGTCTTTTTTCTCTGTTTAAAGAAAAGTAAGTTGTCAAAAAAGACTATGGCAAATAACTATGGACGATTGCACCACAGAGTGAAGCCCTTCTCATTCTGCCAAATTATAGGTCTCTCATCACTCAGATAAGACAAAGCTTTTCATGTCTCAAAACAAGCCTGCATTTAGAGAGATTCTGACCAACTCTATTATTTATTTGCTCTAAAACTAAAGTAACATAAAATGAAGAAGTTGAAATGAATAATCACAGTATACTTAACAAAAGCCTGGAATGTAAAAGAAAATGATTGAGGTTAAAATATTAGGGGACAGAAAAAGGAAAGTAAGCAATAATTTGAAGGAAACGAAGATGATTCAGTGCAGAAAATAAGCTTTAAAACTTTTTAAAAAATTAATTGGAACCCATAAGGTCGAGACAGCTCCAGTGTTCTGTGCTCCTAGGTAAACAAACAAAAACCCAACTTGGAGTAGCTTAACCAATCAGAAACTTTCAATTAACATCTAACTGAAGAAGGCTACTGTTCCACTTTAACCAATCAAATATTTTCTCTGTCTGGCTTTTGAGAACACTTTGTACAATTTTTCCCCTTGTGCACTTTCAGGGGAGCCCTGACCCACTTGTGCTCTAGTGCTGCCCAGTTTGTGAATTGACGTTATGCTCAAAGAAACTCTTTAAGATTTTAATGTGCCTAAGTTTATGTTTTAACAAGACAATGAAACAAGAAAAACAAAATATTAAGTACAATATTCTATAAAAGTAAAAAAAGCCTTATTTAAACAACAACAAATAAAATATTGAAAAGGAATAAGTATAGCACAAGAAATAATTGTTTAAACAATATAATTGAAGATAATATACAAATAAATGGAATATCACCTAGATGTCAACTATTTATCTCAAATATACAAGCAAAATCAAAAGTGATAGAGATCAAGAGGAAAATAAAATAATCATATAAGCTTAACCAAAGTCATAGGGGTAACTTTCCATGAATAACTAAAATAATATAAAAGACAGGAAATAATCAGATATAATAATAGCAGAACGTTCCAAAAACTCAAGGTATATGCCTGTGCTTCAATTCAAAGGGTCAGATTAGAATGAAGAAAGAAAAAAGAAACAAAATCCCAAACCAAATTTTTTTTTGAAATTTTAAATCAAAGACAAATGGAATAATTAAAAGCTCCCACAGAAAATGAATATCTAAAATAATCCCAAGCAAAGAAATGAAAGATAATGAAAATGAAATCAAGTTTCTCAACAATGTCATTTAATGCAGGGATTATATATAAAAAGAATACTTTAAATAAAAATTTATTTTGAATCAGGAATCCAGCATCAGTTGGGAGGTTCAAGATGACTGCGTAGAAGCCGCTAGTGTGCACCAATCTCATGGAGAAGAAACAAAGTGGAGAGTAAAGAGCAGTGCTTCAAGAGAATCATCTAAGGGACTTTGTCAGAATCCACCATGGAATGGGGGAACCCACAGAAAACAGAGAGAAGTTAGGCAGTCACTGACCTGAAACCAGCGTGGGGCCAGGAGAAACTCTCTAACATGGGGAAAGGATGAGTAAGTGAGAGTCCCCAAGAAATCTGCACTTCCCACATGCACCTTCACAATCCTGGGTATGAGCAAACCTCCCAACCCCCATCCCCTAGGCCTCTAGACCAACACAAAGGGCCTCCTGGCATTTTTTTTTTTTTTTTGAGACGTTATCTCACTGGGTCACCCAGGCTGGAGTGCAACGGCGTGGTCTCCGCTCACTGCAACCTCCGCCTCCTGGGTTCAAGTGATTCTCCCACCTCAGCCTCCCAAGTAGCTGAGACAACAGGTGTGTGTCACCACACCCGGCTAATTCTTGTATCTTTAGTAGAAATGGGGTTTCACTGTGTTGGCCAGACTGGTCTCAAACTCCAGACTTTGTGATCCGCCTCCTCGAGCTCCCAAAGTGCTGGGATTACAGGCGTGAGTCACCACATCTGGCCCCTCTGGCATTTTTTGCATAGGCACCACTCAAGCTTATGTGGAGCCCACAGGACTTGGATCCCCGAGCAGCCTGACACCAGCTTCCACAGCCCCAGTAGAGGCTGTAGTCATGGTGCAGAGGAGTGGTCACAATGCCCTGCTCTTCCTTGCTCAGACTTCCACTGCAGTGACTTTGCGCCCACCTAAATTCTGCTGGTGGGCACAGCACAGCATTCCCCTGGAGAAACTTACAGATGACAAACTGTGAGACTTCTGTCCCACTTCTGAGTCAGGCAAGGCTAGGCTCAGGTTTCCAGCTCAGCAGTCCCACCCCTTTGTGAACATTGCGGTGGGTGATGACTCTGCATTCCCGTGGGACAAAACTCCCAGACATAACAGACAATGCTTGGCACCTTCAAGTGATCCCAACAGTGAAGTTCGTCATCATTTGGATGGGAGAGAAGTGCAAGTGTGTCACATGTCCCATAGCTGCTAGTCTTCATTATGCAGCTGAGGATTTCTGCCCTCTCCAGTGAAAGGCCCATAGAACAACCACCTGGCTGAACATTTAACATGTAGAATTTTCTTAAATTCCCAATACCTCAGAATTCCACTTGCCCCTGCCTGAGACGTTGGTTGATGACCCGGGGACTAGCTCACCTGCCCCCACAACACAGCCAGCTCCTGAACTTGGGGCTAGCCTGACCCCAATCCAGCCCCTTTATGACTCATACATGCTGTCCAGCAAGCCATGTAGGAGCCTGGGAACTGGAGAACTACCTACCCCATCCTAAGTCTGCTGGCACCTGACCACATTTCTCAGGGCCTGAGGTTAGACCAACCCAAGCAGCTGACACCACCACAACCAACACCCATTCACATGGGTCCAAAGGTGGATCCCCCTCCCTGCACTTCACAAAAAGCAACAGTACTGCCACATTGGAGAACAGGTGAGATTTAAACCTATCTGTATCGAGTTGAGTGATGAGATTATGTTCTAAAATCACTCCCACAGAGAGCTGCAAAATAGGCATTTCCTGTGGCTCTCAATCACCTTATGGGCCAGAGATAGACTATAATGTGTGTCTGAACTGGGAGTTATGAGCCTTGAAACAAAGGTGTGATAGGGAAACAGATTGTATTGCTGCCTATCTAGAATAGGAAGCCAGTGCAGCCTCCTCACTCCTCCTGCAGAGACCTCAGCACATTTCACCAGGAGCTCACCCCCAGTCACCCTTGTTAGGGCTGGTGCCTGCATTCTCCATTGGGATATTCATGGGCAAACCAGGGGCTCCAGCTCCCTAACCACCACCCCCATGGGACAGGAAGCTCAGGACACAGGGCATCCCACTGTCCAACCCTTCACCTGAAATAACAGAAGGTGCCTCATATAAAACAAAGATCAGATCAATACCCAACTTCTCGTACGGCAGCTGGCTCTTATCTGCAAATATCATCTACTGGCCTGTAGGTCAAACTGCACAGCCCAATACAAAACCTGCTGATAGAAGTGCATAGGACTACAAAAGCAAAGTTAAAAGACCCAACCCAACAGAACCCTCTCCAGATGAGAAGGAATTAGCATAAGAATTCTACCACCATTAAAAATCTGAACTTATGACCACCAAAGGCTCACTCTAGCTCTGCAGCAATGGTCCCTAGTCTAAATGGAGGCATAAGATGTCAGATGGAGAATTCAAAGCATGAATTCCAGGAAAACTGAACAATATCCAAGATAAGCTTGAAAATAAACACAAAGAAACCTGTAAAACAATTCAGGAAGTAAAGGAAGAGGTAAAGATCTTATAAAGAAAGCATTCAGCGCTACCAGAACTGAATAACTCGCTTAAGGAACTTCAAAATGCAATTGAAAGTTTTATCAATAGACTAAATCAAGCAGAATAAAGAATTTTAGAAATTGAAAATTGTCTTTCAAACTAAACCAGTCAGAAAAAAATAAAGAACTAAGAATTTTAAAACTTGAACAAGGTATCCAGGAAATATGGGATTATGTAAAGCAACCAAACCTAAGAATTATTGGCACTACAGGGAGAGAGCAAGATAAAAAGTAAGCAATCCAAAAAATGTACTTGAGAGAATAATTTTTAAAAATTTTCCTAACTTTGCTGGAGAGGTAGACACCCAGATACAAGAAATTCAGATAACGCTTACTAGATACTATACAAAACAAACATCACCAAAGCATGTAGTCACTCAGCTGTCTAAGGTCAAAATGAAATTTTAAAAAATCTTAAAAGCAGCTAGAGAAAAAGATCAGACTGCATAAAAAGGGAACCCCATCAGGCTAACAGCATACTTCTCAGCAGAAACCCTGCAAGCCAGAAGACCTTTTGGGGGACCTATTTTCTGCATCCTCAAAGAACTTCAACCATGAATTTCATACCCTGCCAAACTAAGCTTCATAAGTGAAGGAGAAATAAAATCTTTTTCAGACAGGCAATCACTAAAGGAATTCATTACCACTAAACCAGTCTTACAAGAGATCATTAAAGGAGTTCTAAACATGGAGATGAAAGAACAATGTCCACTACCACAAAATCACAGCTAAGCGCATAGCCCACAAACACTTTAAAGCAACTACACAATAGGAAACACAAAATAAACAGCTAACAAGTTTATGACAGAATCAAAATCTTACATATCAATATTAACCTTTAATGTAAATGGTCTTAACACCCTACTTAAAAGGCACAAAGTGAAACATTGGATAAGAAAACTAGACCCATCCATCTGCTGTCTTCAAGAAACCAAGCTCACATTTTTTTTTTCATCTGCACATGGTACATACTCTAAGACTGACCACATGCTTTGCTGTAAAACAAGTCTCAGAAAATTCAAAATATATTCATACCTACTATATTTTGAAACCACAGTGGAATAAAAATACAAATCAATACCAGGATCTCTTAAAACTATAATAACATGGAAATTACACAACTTGCTCATTTGAGTAAACAACAAAATTAAGGCAGAAAATTTTTTAATAACTTAGAAATAAATAAAAACAGAGGAACACCTACAGAAATCTCTGGGACACAGCTAATGCAGTGTTACGAGGAAAGTTTATAGCACTGAATGCCTATTTCAAGAAGTTAGAAATACCTAAAATTAGCAATCTAATGGAGGAATGGGAAACACAAGAACAAACCAATCACAAAGCTAGCAGAGTATAAGAATCAACCAAAATCAGAGCAGAACTGAATGAGATTGAGATCCCAAAATACATAAAAAGCATCAATGAAGCCAAAAGCTTTTTGTTTAAAAGAATCAACAAAATTGATAGATCACTAAGTAGATTAAGAAAAAAGACAGAAGATCCAAATAAGCACAATTAGAAATGACCAAGGTTACACTGCAACCAATCCCACAGAAATACAAAAGATCCTCAGAGACTATTATAAACACTTCTATGCACAAAAACTAGAAAACCTAGAGGATATGGATACATTCCTGGAAACACATGATCTCCCAAGACCGAGTCAGAAAGAAATCGAAACCCTGGACAGGCCAAAATCAAGTTCAGAATTTCAATCAGTAATAAAAAAATCTACTAACCAAAAAGAGTCCTGGACCAGATGAATTCACAGTCAAATTCTACCGGATGTACAAGAAGAGTTGGTACCTATTCTTCTGAAACTATTCCAAAAAGTAGAGGTGGAGGGCTTCCTCCCTAACTCATTCTACAAAGGCACAATCACTCTCAATTCAAAATCTGGCAAAGACATAACAAAACAAAACAAAAATGGAAACTACAGGCTAATTCACAAAATGCTAGCTAACCAAATCCAGAAACACATCAAAAAGTTAATTCACCATGATCAAGTAGACCTTATTCCTGGGATGCAGGCCCAGTTAAACCACACAAATCAATAAATGTGATTCACCACCTAAACGGAATTAAAAGCAAAAGCTAAAAGCTGTATGATTATCTCAATAGATGCAGAAAAAGCTTTTCCTAAAATCCAACATCCCTTTGGCCGGGCGCGGTGGCTCATGTCTGTAATCCCAGCACTTTGGGAGGCCGAGGCGGGAGGATCATGAGGTCAGGAGATCGAGACCATCCTGGCGAACATGGTGAAATTCCATCTCTACTAAAAATACAAAAAAAAAAAAATTAGCCAGGTGTGGTGGCAGGCGCCTGTAGTCCTAGCTACTAGGGAGGCTGAGGCAGGAGAATGGCATGAACCCGGGGGGTGGAGCTTGCAGTGAGCCAAGATCGCGCCACTGCACTCCAGCCTGGGAGACAGTAAGACTCTGTCTCAAAAAAAAAAAAAAAAATCCAACATCCCTTCATATGTTCATCCTTCAACAGCCTGGGTATGGACAGAACATACCTCAAAATAATAAGAGCCATCTATGACAAATCCACAGCCAACAAGAAAAACTGGACTCATTCCCCTTTGAACTGGAATAAGACAGGGATGCCCACTCTCACCACTTCTACTAGAAGTACTGTGTTGTGAGAGAAAGAAATAAAAGGCATCCAAATAAGAAAGGAAGAACTCAAATTATCATTCTTCACTGATATGATTCTATACCTAGAAAACCCTAAAGTTTTCACCAAAATGTTCCTGGATCTGATAAACAATTTCAATAACATTTCAGAATACAAAATCAACATACAATTATCAGTTGCATTTCTATACACCAATAATATTCAAGATGAGAATCAAATCAACAATACAATCACACCAACAATAGCCACACACATATCCTTGGCATACATCTAACCAAGGAGGTGAAAGATCTCTACAAGGAGAATTATAAAACACTGCTGAAATAAATCATAGATGATACAAGCAAATAGAAAAATATACACTGCTCATGGATCAAAAGAATCAATATTTTTTAAATGGTCAAATGGCCCAAAGCAATTTAGAGTCAACTCTATTCCTATCAACCTACCAACATTATTTTTAACAGAATAAGGGGGAAAAAAAGGATTCTAAAATTCATATGGAACTAAAAAGGAGCCTGAATAGCCAAAACAACTCTAAGTAAAAGGAACAAAGCCAGTGGTATTACACTACCTGATTTCAAACTATACTACAAGACCACAGTAACCAAAACAGCATGGTACTGATGCAAAAACAAACACATAGATCAATGGAACAGGACAGAGAACCCATGAATAAAGCTACACACCTGCAATCATCTGGTCATTGACAAAATCAACAATAACAAGCAATGGGGAAAGGACTTCTATATGTACTGGGAAACCACAAAATTTGCATGACTTACCTTTTTGTGATATTCAGTTTATCACAATTATGGTGGCCTGAAACACAACCCCCAATATATCTGAGGTATGCCTGTATTTAGAAAGTACTTCTCATGCTGTTTTTCTAAAGAAGTGATTTAAGGATACATAGCCCAAAGAAGAAGAAGGAGGAAAAGGAGAAGGTAGAGAAAGCACTAACCCAAGAAAGACAAAGACATGGAATAAAAAACAGGAATCAATCCAAGATTGCAGGGAAGAAAATTGCCAAGGTGGAATATGAGTCATGTTTAATTATGAATCAACCATTCCAGATTTATAAAGAATGTTACTGGATATGGAAATGAAGACTGGCTCTGTGGTTTGAATGTATCCTCTCTAAAATTTAGGTTTTGAAACTTAATGGCCAATGATAGTATTAAGAAGTGGTGCCTTTAAGAGGTGATTAGGCCATGAAAACTCCTCCCTGGTAAATGGAAATAAGACCCTTATAAATAAGGCTTCATGCAGCCTTTGGCTTTCTTCTCCTTCTGCCTCTCACCATATGTGAACACGTGGAGTATACAGTGTTCTAAAAGCCATCTTGGATCTTGGAAACAGAGATCGAACCCTCATGAGACAATGAGCCTGCTGGTGCCTTTATCTTGGACTTCCTATCTTCCAGAACTGTGAAAAATAAATTTTTGTTCTCTACAAATTACCCAGTTGGTGGTATTTTGTTATAGCAGCACAAAGTGGACCACGACAAGTGAGTTTCAAATACTTTACTAGAAGAATGTTTTAAATATGAAACAAACTTGTTTGTGGCAAAATTTTGAGTAACCTGTGAAGCATAAGATAAAATAACCTACTTTAAACTAATAGCAGAAATACATCCTAACCATGTGACATAGAGGCTGTGAAACGTTAATAATAGTGTCATCATACTGAATATTTCTTTGCAGGCTTCCAACTATTACTATCAGCATCAAAGCTAAGGATGGAGAATATTTAAAGACAAAAATGTAAATGCTATCAATTTTATGTGAATGCACCACTGACAAATCACAGAAGCTAAAACGTAGTGAGGAGAGGCAAAAGCAAAGATAGAGGCACTGAAAACCTTATTTTAAAAGGTGAAGAGGGCACGGTGGGCAGATCACTTGAGGCCAGGAGTTCGACACCAGCCTATCCAACATAGTGAAATCACATCACTACTAAAAATACAAAAAAATGTAGCTGAGTGTTGTGGTGCATGTCGGCAATCCCAGCTACCCAGGAAGTTGAGACATGAGAATTCCTAGAACCTGGGAGGTGGAGGTTGCAGTGAGCTGAGACTGCCCACTGCACTCCAGCCTGGGTGACAGAGCAAGACTGTCTCGAAATAAAATAAAAGGTGAAGAGCAAAAATATTCAATGTAAAGCTCAGGCTATAAGAAAATGGTTTAAATAAATCATGAAAGAATTAAAGTATAGAGATGGTGCTATAATTATATCATTAATTAAGGACTGGTGTCTATGAGGTGAATTACTATAAATTATAACAAAAATAAACTTTTGAACATTTAAAAATCATATAAGCATATTGTCAAAAAATACAGAAACATTGTTATATATATTTTTGCTTGTATTATATAGGATTAGTGGTAGGAAAGTTTAGGTTTATTGCTTCTTATTTATTTACCCTACGCTTTTTGATATTTTACCATATTTATGTATAACTTTAATAGATGTTTTAAATAAATTGAGGTGAACAAGTGGTATTCTGGTACATAACGTTTTATTAAATAAAGGTTGTAAATATAGGAGATGGGCAGCAAGTAAGATTTAAGGAGGAAAAAAGGCAGCCAGAGGGGAAGGAAACAAGCCCTGTTGAGAACTCAGTAACGAGGGAAGCAGTGTAGAAAGACGACCAGAAGGGTGAACAAAATTCCTGAGAAGACATAAAAGAAAAGAGCTTAACCACCAAAGGCAAGATCCAATCTCTGATAAAAGAAGAAACATTTACTCTATTACGAATGAGAGAAGAATAAAAGACAAAGGCTATTAAAAATATGTTATTAAATAAATTTCATGATGATGAAAAAACCATTCTGACAACTTCTAATGTAACTTTCAGGAAGCCAGGCTGTATGTACACTGTCAAGCCATTGTGTGCAGTGGACGAATATTAAATAATTGTTGTTTAAATTAAAACAGCAAGCCTATTAGAGATCTGCAGTATAAAGTTTGCCACACAATCCTAGGCTCAGTGTTTCACCAGCTTGAAATAAAAACTAGAATTATGGAAAACTGCTGATATTGTTTACCAAAAACAATCTTACGTTACTTCTAAACTAAAGGTACTGATGTTACTCTTTTCATTTTTCTTTTCTGTTTCCTCTTGAATGCACTATATAGTTTTATTCATTTCTGACTGGCAGAAAGAAATTTCAATAAATTATGATTGCTACTTTATGAATTTTCAGAACATCTGAGTAATGTAAAATGATATATTTCAACAGAGAAAATGTTTCAGGTACTGTGGAGACATTTTCAATAGGTTTAGAGGGCTGATGAAAAATGATACTTCAAAGACATTTCAGCATGAAATATCCTTCAGAAAATGACTGCTGAAGTGAAAATTTCTCTCTATATAACTAAGATAACTCTTTAGGGGTCATCTAGAGAAAAAGATAATCTGGAAAAGACTTGTATGCGATGTAAATGTTAACTATGCTTTTATTAAAAAAGTAGTTTTTAATCCCAGTAGAAGTCATAGAAAAGAAAAATGGTTTTACTTTTCTCTTTATGGTAATGTGGGCTAACTACAATTATTTATTTCCATTATTGTTCAAAGGAGAAATAGAGGAGACAGAGTGAACCTGGATATTTCTGCCTTATATTACTGTGTCAGTCTTGCCAGCACATATGATAACGGAGTATCTTGTGTGACCACATTAGAGGAAAAAGTTAAGATCAGACCCAGTATTGCGTTGTTTATTCTGAGTGAAGTGGATCCTGGGCAGTTGCTATACACACTTTCCTGACTGAGGGTTGCATATCATAACTGAGAAAGAGCATAGGAGCAGTAGCATTGAAAGATTGTGACGTCTGGCTGACTATTATGAATCAGTTTTTGAACGTATTAGGAGTCAATTGTAATGACACAATTTACTAAAAACTTTTCAAAGTTTAGTTTGTATATATATAAAACTATATTGTATCGATTACAGAGTACCAATCTTCAACTTAACACATGACAATAAAAATGTGCATTGTAGGCCGGGCACGGTGGATCACGCCTGTAATCCCAACACTTTGGGAGGCCGAGGCGGGCGGATCACGAGGTCAGGAGATCGAGACCATCCTGACTAACACGGTGAAACCCCGTCTCTACTAAAAGTACAAAAAATAAGCCGGGCGTGGTGGCGGGCGCCTGTAGTCCCAGCTACTCGGGAGGCTGAGGCAGGAGAATGGCGTGAATCCGGGAGGTGGAGCTTGCAGTGAGCCGAGATCGCGCCACTGCACTCCAGCCTGGGCGACAGAGCGAGACTCCGTCTCAAAAAAATAAATAAATAAAAATAAAAAATTAAAAAAAAAAAGCGCATTCTAGCTTCCAGAATAATTTCTCACTGAATACGTAGTTCTCAAAACAAAAATGTAATACTTCTTCTAGGCTCTTCAAAGCCCCACTGGAAATTATTGCATTATGTTTACTTGTATTTTAATTTCCAATTTATATGAAGTTATGAGACTAGAATTTTTACTTCTTTTAAGAAATGTTTTAAATAAGATAGCTTAAAATCAACAAAAAGTAAGTAAAGAAGTGTGATTACTATCATTTAGCCATTCGTCTATTGAATTATTCCATAGTTTAACAAATCAACTAACAAACAAGCAATATATGTGTCAAAGAAATTGCTTTTGATATGCAAACAGCAAATAATACATATGTGTAGTAGCATTAAGTTTGCTGGCCCCCTGCTGTAAGCCCTTATGCTGCCTGGGGATAATTGTCTTTTCCAATATGAGTTGCAAGAAATCTGCTTGAATGTGCTCTGCTGGGCTTCTAGAATACCGTGTGTGCTCATAATGTAGACAATTCTTGGGAAACAGATGAATTCACTGTGTTATAGTTACCAAGTTTTCACCTTATAAATTTGCTAGGAGCAAAGAGTTGTCGATTTCTCTAAGGGTAGAAGGTTGCAAATACAACAAGAACATATGTGTTGTCACTTTAATATTTTTCAAATCATTGATGGAAAATCTATCATACTGATTGTTTTAGTTCTAAAGCAATACCACCGTTTAATAAAAGAGAATGGCTCATTGTATCTCATTTGATGTATCCTCAAGAGATTAAATAATTTAGGTGAAATAATAATATAAAGGCTGAATATTTTCTTAAATTAAAAACTAAGCAGGAGGCCAAGGAGGGAGGATCACGAGGTCAGGAGATCGAGACCATCCTGGCTAACACAGTGAAACCCCTTCTCTACTAAAAACACAAAAATTAGCCGGGCGTGGTGGCGGGTGCCTGTAGTCCCAGCTACTCGGGAGGCTGAGGCAGGAGAATGGTGCGAACCCGGGAGGCTGAGCTTGCAGTGAGCCGAGATCGCACCGCTGCACTCCAGCTTGGGCGACAGAGCAAGAGTCTGTCTCAGAAAAAAAAAAAAAAAAAAAAAAAAAAAAAAAGTAAGCAATGAGATTCCCAGACTCTTAAAGTATATCTAGCAATGGTTCATTAAGGGTTAGAGAAGATTTAAAAAGAAGCAGTGTTAAAAATTTAGGGGATGGGCCGGGCACGGTGGCTCACACCTGTAATCGGCACTTTGGGAGTCTGAGGCTGACGGGGCGGATCACCAGAGGTCAGGAGTTCAAGACAAGCCTGACCAACATACAGTGAAACCCGTCTCTACTAAAAATCCAAAAAAATTAGCCAAGGGTGGTAGCGGGCGCCTGTAATCCCAGCTTCTAGGGAAGTTGAGGCAGGAGAATTGCTTGAACCTGGGAGGCGGAGATTGCAGTGAGCTGAGATCCCGCCATGGCACTCCAGCCTGGGCAGCAGAGTGAGACTTCATCTCAAAAAAAAAATTTAAAAAAAATAAAAAATAAATCAATAAAAATAAAAATAAATTAGAGGGATGAAGAAAAATACTTGAAGTGCTTCCATGACAAACTGAATGAAATAAGTATATCATGAGATATGAAAATTGGTAGGAATGTGTCAAACTGTCATTTTGAGAAATTATTTCATTTTATTTATGTGTATAAATTAAATATACTAAGTAAGTTAAATTAAAAAGAATTCTAGGCCAGAAGTTAAAAAATAATTCTAACATTTTGGCATATAGAATATAAATCATAGGGCTTCCTCTTCAAATTTTCTGTACTTGAAAAATATCTCATGAGAGCAAGAAAGCTGTCCAAGTACTTAGTAAATGAAAACACTGAATCAAAGAATGTTATCTTAAATGAGAGAAACTGAGTTGCTTGCCAAAAATAAATTAATAAAGACATTATGTGTGTCATCTTTTACAGGCAGTTGAGAGACAGAGAGTCAGAGAGAGAGAGAGGGAGAACATCTACGGAATGTCAAATTCTAAGAAAGAAAAAACTCAACACTCTTCCAGCCCTTCTCCCCATCTGTCTCTGAAGGAACATAAGAGCCTAAACTGAGGCCATCTACTAGTTGAATAGATATTGGTGCAGGGGGAGGTCAAAGGTGGTTATGAGTGGCAGAAGAGAGGGACTGCTTATTCTGGAGCTCTTTGGCCAGAACTTTCAATACTTTTCTACACATTAGAATCAACTAGGGAGCTATAAGAAGTACCGATGTCTAGGTTCCATGTCTAGAAATTCTGATTTCATCGCCCTTGGGTATGACCTGAGCATTGGATATTTTAAAGAATGCCTGGGTTATTTTAATACGCAAACAAATTAGAGAAACACTGCTTAAGGCAGAAGGTTTACTTTCTTAACTCCTGCAGAGTCTAGTAGAGAACCTTGCAAACCCTTTTGGGAAAGAGTTTTATCAGTCACCTTCATGCTGATGCCTCTAGCATGACTCATCAATTCTATGAACACTAAGATAAGGAACTGCCCTGGAAGACTAGATTTTTATTTTTTGTTTCTGAAGATGGTAGGAAAAATTGGCATATCAAAATTAGTGATAACCCTCAAGAGAAGAAATGTTGGTGTTTTCACCATCTTATGGCCTGGATCTTATCAATGTGCTTTACCAAAATGATCACAGGAAGACAAAAGATAAACAAAGAGAAATGCACACATCAGAAAAGCAGAAACATAACAGATGAAAATCAAGATAAATATCTAGGACAAAGGGATGCCTTTTTAATTAGAACTGAAGGAAAAGTCTGAATAAAACTTAGAATATTCAGGGATATGCATAGATGTGTAAAATGTATAGATACGTTTAGATATGTAAAGCACACACACACAAAAGACTTTACAGAATTTTTGACTATTTTAAATAAAATTTCCATAGATGAACTGAAAAGAAGGTTGACATTGCTGAGAGCATAATTAGTGGTGGTCTGGAATATCAAGTGCTGAATAAATTGCATAGTTCAAATTAAGAGAGAGAGGGGGAGGGAGGAGAGAGAGAGACAGAGAGGGAACATGAAACATAGTGATACATCATGAAGGAAAAACTATGAAACAAATCTGAAAAGAGAATCAGACCAAGATGAACATAAAGAGAATTTCCAAAGGGTCTTTCTCAGAGTTCTCCAAAAGGGAAAAAATAAAATTGGAGAGAACAGGTCAAATGCTGTTAACCTGCTTCTTTTAGTTTTGCTTGAGTCTATAATAATACATTATTTTAACTCTTTGGGATTGGAAAACCCTTAGCCAAGTCCCAATATGTGACGTACTCACAGAGATGAGCCTCCCATGTGCTCCCTGAATGGAGGCTAGAACTACTGTTACGGACAGAATGTGGTTTCCCCAAAATTTATATGTTCAAGTCTCAACTCACGATGTCACTATATTTGGAGGTAGAACCTTTAAGCAGGTAATTAAGGTTAAATGAGATCATAAGGCTAAGGCCCAAATCTGATAGGGCAGGTGGCCTTCTAAGAAGAGCAAGAGGGCTGCATGCACAGAGGAAAGATCATGTGAGGATACAGACAGAGGAGGCCATCTCCAAGTCAGGAAAAGAGGCCTTACCAGAAACCAATCTTGAAAGCACCTTGATCTTGGACTTCTAGCCTCCAAAACTGTGAGAAAATTTCTATTGTTTGAACCACCCAGTCTCTGGCACTTTGTATGGCAGCTTGAGCTGACTAATAGAACCACCAACCTACTGCCCTCTAGAACAGAAGCCTGCAAACTCTGTCTGCAAAGAGCTAGATGGTAAGTATTTTCAGCTTTGTATGCCATCAGATAACGTGTCAACTAGTCAACTCTGCTATAGTATTGTGAAAATAGCCACAGACAATATGTAAATAAATGACTGTAGCTATGCTCTAATAAAACTTGAATTGCAAAACATTTCTACACTGCTGGTGGGAATATAAAGTAGTACAACCACTATGGAAAACAGTATGGAGATTCCTTAAAGAACTAAAAGTAGAACTACTATTTGATCCAGCAATCCCGCTACTGGGTATCTACCCAGAGGAAAAGAAGTTATTACATAAAAAAGGTACTTGCACATGCATGTTTATAGCAGCACAATTTACAATTTCAAAATATGGAACCAGCCCAAATGCCCATCAATAAATGAGTGGATAAAGAAACTGTGGTATATATACCATAGTATATACACAGAGGAAAAGTCATGTGTATGTATATGTGTGTGTGTGTGTATGTATACACACACACACACACACACACACACACACACACATATATATATATATGAGATGGAATGCTGCTCAGCCATAAAAAGGAATGAATTAATGGCATTTACTGCAACCTGGATGGGATTGGAGAGACATAAAAATGATACAATGAACTTTGGGCACTCAGGGGAAAAGGTGGGAAATCTCACAAGTTACCACTAAAAGAACTTACTCATGTCACCAAATACCACCTGTTCCTCCAAAATCTATAGAAAAAAAAAAAACTTTAATTACAAAATGGGCAGTAGGCTAGGGCTATAGTTTGCTAACCCCTATTCAAAAACCATCACTTTGGCTGGGCGCGGTGGCTCATGCCTGTAATTCCAGCACTTTGGGAGGCCAAGACGGGCAGATCTCTTGAGGTCAGGAGTTTGAGACCAGCCTGGCCAACATAGTGAAACCTTGTCCCTACTAAAAATACAAATAATTAGCTGGGTTTGGTGGCACACACCTGTAATCCCAGCTCCTCAGGGGGCTGAGGCAGGAGAATCACTTGAACTGGGAAGGCTGAGGTTGCAGTGAGCCAAGATTGCCCCACTGCACTCCAGCTTTGGTGACAGAGAGAAACTCTGTCTCAAAAAGAAACAAACAAAAAACCATCTCTTGGTAATAATGTCTTGAATCAATAAATGTCAAGAATTTGCTTCCAGCAGATACCTGGAATCCTATTCTTAATATTATCAAGAGAACATGAATATTCTCGTACTAATAAATGTTGATAAATGCTAAATGAATGTGAACCTTTCATTGTGTCTCTCTTATGTCCTGATCTGGAATAGTTTTCTTTCATAACTGTTCTGTAACATGACTTTAGCCCCCAATTATTCTTCTACAAAATACCCAAACAGTGGCTTCTAATCCACACACACAATTTCTCTCTCTTTTAAGAACTGCCCTTGACCAACTATGTCTAAAACAAGCGGAATTTTGCCGATTCTCTATTTCTAAAGCCCTTACAAATGTTCTGCTCATTTTCCCAAATTACAATACTCCTTCAGAGCCTTCTCGTGTCTGGAATTCTCAAAAAAAAAAAGCTTTAGAAGGCTTATGCTGTCCTTTCTCTGGTGATAGGAATTTCCACAGATATTCCTGAAGTAATAATATTAGTCCCAAACATCTCAGAGACACTCTTTAGATTGATTTATTGTCTTGTAAAGAGTTTCTTGTCACAAACGCCCAGTTCCTTGTGTCAAAAGCCTAACCACCCTTTATTGCTGTTAAATCCCCATGCCTATAACCTGGGCTAGGGCAGATTGAAAAAGGAAGAATCAGAAGAAGCTGGGATTGAATGACATTAACTTTTTTATCTCTGTAGATTAATTGTATCTATTATATGTACTGTGTTTGTCAAGGTTCTCCAGAGGGACAGAACTAATAGGATATATGTATGTATGAAAGGAGGTTTATTAGGGAGAATTTGCTCACATGATCATAAGGCAAAGTCCCACAACTGGTCTGCAAGCTTAGGAAGAGGGAAGACAGTAGTGGCTCTGTCCTAGTCCAAAAGCCTCAAAACCAGGGGAAGCCGACAATGCAGCCATCAGTCTGTTGCTGAAGGCCCGAAAGCCCCTCTGCAAGCCATTGGTGTAAGTCCCACAGTCCAAAGGCTAGAGAACCGGGAGTCCAATGTCCAAGGGCAGGAGGAGCAGGAGGAAACATCCAGCACGGGAAAAAGAAGGAAGCCAGGAGATCCAGCAAACAAAGTGAGTCTACCTTCTTCTGCCTACTTTATTTTTATTGTGCTGGCAGCCAGTTGGATGGTGCCCACCCGCATTGAGGGTGAGTCTTCCTCTCCCAATCCACGGATGCAAATGTCAGTCTCCTCTGGCAACACCTTCACAGACACACTCAGAAAAGATACTTTACCAGCCATTTAGGCATCCTTCAATCCAGTCAAGTTGACACCTAATATTAACCATTGCACATACCTGATCTAGTATATTTCTTCAACGTAAATCAGCCTGTAGTATACCAGGCCTTCAATAAATATTTATTAAATGAATACATTGTAAGCACAGTTTCATGTTTTAAATGATGTAAGGTCTGTAGTCCAGGAAAGATCACTTTGAGTCTTGAAATAACTCAAGCACAATTGCTGCTGGACATAGAAATTCTGAGCACAGAGAGCATTACTGTCGGCCATGTATTCTTCTAAGAGACAGGACACACACACACACACACACACACACATATATGTCTCAGAACAAAACATGTTACACTTTTGGATTTTTGCCATTTTTGATAAGTCAGAAATTATATCTTAGTGTTGTTTTAATTTGCATTTTGCAATTAAGACTGAAATTAATCATCTTCATAGTTTAAAGGCTATATATATAGAGAGAGAGACAGAGAGACAGAGAGAGAGAGAGACAGTCTGATATCTCTCTACAAATGTTTATAAATCAATGCTCTTATTATTGCAAAAAATGCTGCAATGAACCACCTTGTATACATTTCACATCATCCACACGCACGTAGGCATAGTTTCCAATTCCTTCCTTCCTCCCTTTAATAGGATTAGATGCTCAAGTACTGCCCCCTGTTACTGTGCATTGCTTCCCAGTGGGCAGAATATAAATCACTGCCCTGATAACTTTGGTTTTAGCCATATTACTTCTTTGTCTGATGGAACATGGGCAGAAGTAACACTGTCCTAATGCCAAGCAGAAACTTGCAGAAGCCCTTGTTGTTCCCCTTTAGCTTCTGACTCCTGCCATGAAAACAGCATTTCCCAGGTAGCAGGTGCCACTTCAGCCCTGGTCCAGGAATAAGAAGGCATCAGACAAATCAAAAGCTGACCTGCAGCCCTCATGTAATAGAAGCAATAAATAAATGCGTTTGTTGTAAACCACTGAGATCTCCAGCCTGTTGATTACTGCAACAAAACTGAGTCTCAGAGTTAGGCTAGATTCCCAGAGCTGGGATTGTTGTGTCAAAGGGTAAATGCAATTTTTATTTTGATAGATATTGCCAAATGTTTTTCCATAGGAATAGTACCACTTTGCCCTACAATAACATATCAGAGTGTCTGTTTCCCCAGAGCCTCTGTAACAGAACATGTTAAACTTTTGAATTTTTGCCATTTTGATAAGTGAGAAATTATATCTTAGTGTTGTTTTAATTTGCATCTTTGCAATTAAGACTGAGATTAATCATCTTCATAGTTTAAGGACCATATATATATTTAAAAAACTCTCTGTTAATAAATTTGCCCATTTTTCGGTTGGATTGGTAGTATTTTCTTCTCAGTACCTAGATGTTCTCTCTGTAGTATGATTAGCTCTTTACTGTATGATTGGCAAGCATTTTTCCTATTTGTACCTTGTCAAATGATGTAGCTTATAATTTTTTCCATTACATTCAATAATGCTTTGTTTTACTTCAAATACCTAAATCTGTGTATCCACCTGTGGTTGAAACTGAGCAGAAATCAATGAGGTCTCTCCAAGGCATCACCAAGTGATGGAGGATAGCAAATGCAGTGTTTATTTGATAGAACTGTTTGCTTGGTGTATTCTACCAAATTTAGTCCATTTATTAAATATGCTATACATTTCACCATGTACAGATATGGCGTATCTGTACACCATTGTGTACAGATATTGATAATTCATACCTATTAAGAATCAAGATTATTTGTTTCATGAATTTAAAAAAATCCCTGTAGAATACATGCTAAGAAAACATGATCTTAGCTGATTCTGAAAAGAAGTAAATAAGACACATTTTATGTGAATAAATAAGAACTAACACAAAATAATCAAAAACTCAAAAAATGCTTCTAAGTAGCACATTGCAGCAGAATAACCTGATTAATAAAATAACTATATCTTATTTTCTGCTATAGGTTCATCATAAAAGAAAGAGAACTATTTTGGCAATTTTCCCATACCTGTCTTCTGCTCCACACTCACCCCCACAACAATCTGGGCTCTGTTTTCCAGAACAGTGTTATTTCAAATATTTTTGCTAGTTTGTACTAAAAAAGAAAAATTGCACTGTGTTTAAGTTGGGATTGGAAATTATTCATCATCAGTTTAAATGGATGCAATGTATTATTAGTTTTTAGTAAGAGATAAATATTTTAAATAACCTTCTATAGACAGTTACATGGACAAGTTCAAATTATGTTAGACGTGGTCTGTGCATACATTCCCCTACCTGCAACTGAATTCATTACTCTGTAATTAGAGTCATTCACTTGTCAATTTCTAGAGAATATTTTTTAATAACCCATAACATAAAACTTTGCTGAGACTTAGCAAATATACCTCTTAATTATAAGGTTAATCTTTCACCTTGACACACCTTGAATAAATCAATACACTCAGAAAGATTTGCGAAGACTGAAATATTGTTCATTTTAATATCTCTGCCAATAAATGTTTTAGATAAAATGTTTTAATCTTGTTACACTCTTTATTATATATGTTTGTCAAAACCTGGACCTACAGATTTACTTCATTCAATTTGGAAATGCCAGTCATATAACCTAATTGGCAAAGCCAGTCAATATTTTCAAACTAATCAGCAGATCAGAATTCCTTCTGTCACAGAAAGTCTGACTTCATTTCTCAACTCAAATAAACATATTAATATGAATTCCTATGACAACCATCTCGTTTCTGAATTCCAGTTATAAGATAGATAAGACAGACACTTCCCATGATATGTTCAATAGATGAAATAGTGTGCTGCCATCTTCAATATTTCTTACTGAAACTACTTTGTTTCACCTTCATGGGATTCTCTCAGGACTGAGTAATTTTGTGACAAAAGCTGGTAAATGGAAGAACTAAGTTTCCAAATGAACATTGCCAGTTTCTCTGCTGTCCTACTCTAATGTTTATTCAAATCCCAACATATTACACTCTTTCTAAGGCCGTTTTAGAAACAAGAAGGCATATTATGCAGAGATAAACAATGCTGCCTTAATTAAAGTATTCTTTCTGAACAAAAAACAAACAAACAAAAACAACACCAAAAAAACGTGTTTCTCTGTTTTACACCAGAGCCTTTTTTTTACTTTGTTTATTTATTTATTTATTTATTTATTTTTGTAAAGTGAGAAAAAGGGAAAGGAAACAAGCATTATGCCTCTTTGTATGGCACAATCTCAGGCTGAAACATTTTACGAAAAAGCAGGATAGAATTTGAAGTTCTAGAATCCAATTTACTTAAAATGCTCTTCTATGTAGCCTGTGGAATGTATTTCTGCGCTGCAAAAATTATCTGTGCCCCAGATTACCTGGGAAGAGGAAAAAATTCCTATCTCATCCAGATAGAGAATTTTTCAGTCGTGAAAATGGGTACTGAATCAAATTATTTGCTTTAGAAAATAAATAAGGAGATAGTTCTTACACGTTAGTTTTGAGGAGGAAATCTGTCCTGTTCTTATTAAGAGAGGGGAGTGATCCTAGATTGTGGACAATCCTTGACGATAAGTATCTGGCACACTGACTAACTGGACCTCCTAGGACTTGAGCCATTGAGTTTTTTTGAGATAGATTTCAGATTAATAAAAAATGGATGACAGAAAATATATAGAGAATCTTATAAAACTGATGATTTGGAGAATACAGTGGACCCAATTGAAAATGAGTTTGAAAATATACCAAAGAAGCCTTAAAAAATCTGGAGACATACAAATGGTCAACAAGTATATGAAAAAAATGCTCAATGTCACTCATCATCAGAGAAATGTAAATCAAAAACACAAGGAGATGTCATCTCATCACAGTGAAAATGGCTATTATCAAAAAGCCAAAAAAGTAACAAATGAGGATGAGGATGTGGAGTAAAAGGAACTCATGTACACTATCGGAGGAGGGAATGTAAATTAGTATAGCAATTATGGAAAAGAGTATGGAGATTTCTTTAAAAACTAAAAATATGAATACCATTTGATGCAGCAATCTCTCTGCTGTATGTATACCTAATAGTAAGTGCATCAGTATGTCAAAGAGATATTTGCAGTCTCACGTTTATTGCGGCACTATTCACAATCGCCAAGATATGGAATCAACCTAAATGTCCATCAGCAGAAGAATAAAGGAAATATGGTACATATACACAATGTGATATTACGTGGCCATAAAAATGAATAAAGTTCTGTCACTTGCAACAACAAAAATAGAACTGGAGGTCATAACGTTAAGTGAAATAAGCCAGGCACAGAAAGAAAAATATCACGTTTTCACTCATACGTGGGAGCTAAAAAAAATTAATCTCATGGAAGTAGAGAGGAGAATGGTGGTTACCAGAGGTTGGGAAGAATGGAGGTGAAGGAAAGATGAAGAGAGGATGGCAAAATACAGTTAGATAGAAGAAATAAATTTTAGTCACAGTTAATGTGGCTACAGTTAATAACAACTTGTTCTGTATTTCAAATCGGCTAGAAGAAAGGATTTGTAATGTTCTCAACATTAAGAAATGACAAAGCTTTTAGGTGATAGATATCCTAATTATCCTGATTTAATCATTACATATTGTATGCATATATGAAAATATCACATGTAACCAATAAATATGTACAATTATTATGTATTAATAAATTTAAAGAAGCAAGTTCTAGACACTTGCTTACAGAGTGCATTGCTTGGCAAACAGTTTATTTCACTGTAATAAAACAGCTCACAATGCATGTCTCAAGAAACATACTCAGATTTAGCTTTAAAATGTGTGTATGTAAATCCTTCAAAAATCTATTTAAAACACAAGAAATTTTAGGGTAATTTATAGACATTGCCAAACACCAATGCAGTCTTAGTGAAATTTGCAACATTAATTTATCAGGTATTTCCAGAACATTAAGAAAGGATTGGAGTCGAAAGTAATTTTGAAGACTTCTATCCCAGTCTCTGTTTTTCTAAAATAAACTTAACCTCTCCTTGTAGAGAAAAGACATTGTGGTTAATGTAATTCAATGCAACTCAGTATGACTATGTGTCATAAGACATAGCCTATAACATTGAGTCAGACTTTGGGAAGGTTTTGTGCCTTCCCAAAACTGAAACAATTAGTTATCAGAAACAAGTGATGCTTTCCAGAAATTTGATACCAGACTCCCTGGCATTTAAGTGTCAGTGAAGACACAATGCCAAGATGCTTCAATAATCATATTGCTTTGATGTTGAGATTAAAACTTGAAGAAATGGCTGATTGGCACCTTTCACATCTTACATTCGTGCTAGATAAATGACACATCACTGTGACTACATATCTGAGACATTTATAAAAGCCTTTAGGAATTTTTTTAACCATAAAGGTTTACAAATCAGTCTTGTAAATCTCTTTCAGGGATTGAATTTATACCTAACCTGGAAAAGTTGGTATAGAGTGTTCTGGTAAGGAGATATTTCAATTTAAGAAGCATGTACATGGGCTATTAAAACAGGTATATGCAGAGGCAATGCTGAATGACACTCCACTCCAAGCTCATTCTGATAGAATTGGACTTTGTTTTCACTTTTTTCAATTACTGAAAATGATGAAGGCAGTGGAGTGGTAAGAAGTTAAGACAGGGTTTCCATTAATCACAGGAACCAGAAACAAAAATCGTCCAGCCCTGGAGCAAAACAAATCCAAAATTATCCTGGTAGTCAAGATTCCTGACTGGGTCATTGCAGGATTTCAACAGTATTAGTATAGTTGTCATCAGAGCATGTAGAAAACACCAGATAGGCAAATGGGCCCTCTTATTGACAATAATACTAGAGAAATGATAGGACATATGTATATGGAGATTACAATGTGCCGGGCACTTTCTAAGCATTTTTATATAACCCTTGCAATAACACTATGAAGTGGGTACAAACATGGGTGTGCTTCTGAATCTGCTGATGGTATGATGACCTCATGCACATCCAGAGAAACTGTGACACAAAGTAGGTGACTTGGACCTGTAACAAAATGTGAAATGCCCTTGTTAAGTTACTGAGAACAAATATTTCAGAAATAATCACTGTTTAGGGATGTACAAATGCCCCCTTCTTTGCTTATGAGGAAGGTGTGTATTGTACGGTTGCCAATGTTCCCCAAAAGAGTCTACTGGTGGTCAAACAAAAGGGAGACCTGTTTTGGACGCTCTTGATAAAATGGAGAGAAATGGAGGCTCTTCTGTTTCCATAACAGACTGAGCATACGAGGAAATTTTTAAGCCTTTTTCTTGGATATATGGCCTGGATCTTGGAGATGAAAGAGAATGAGTTCAAAGGTCATTCAGTGAGCTAGTGGAAGGGTCAAGGTTGGCCAGGCTTTTGGCACATTCTTGCTGTGTACCTAACGCTGCTGAACAGATTCTATTGTATCCCACTTCAGTAAGGAAGACCACAAACACAAGCAGAGAAACACGCCTGCCCAAATGATAGAGCCCAGAAAATTAGGAAAGGGTGAGGACTATAAGTTGAAAAATCAGCTTACAGCAATGCCAAAATTAAACACATGTTTTTCTGTATTGAACCAAGTATAGCTGCTCTCCTTCAGAGGCTGTTGATGCCCTGTTTCTACGATGTCCTATAAAGTGGCACCATTTCTGATAAGCTTAATTAGTATGTTTGGGAAAACTTTTAGTGTCACAGTCTTTGGAGCCTTGACAAAGACCATGTTACTGAGTTGATCTCAAACAGACAACTTTGGCTTGAACAATCAGCATTTCACTGACAGCAGATTGGGCTATGAATCAGATATTCATCTGCAAATTTTTCTAAACAATTCAACCTCTGAGGAGCTTTTAAAAAATACCAATACCGGCTGGGTGCGGTGGTTCACACCTGTAATTCCCAGAACTTTGGGAGTTGGAGGTGGGTGGTTCACTTGAAGTCAGGAGTTCGAGACCAGCCTGGCCAACATGGTGAAACCCCATCTCTACTATAAATACAAAAATTAGCTTGGTGTGGTGGCATGTGCCTGTAATCCCAGCTACTCTGGAGGCTGAGACAGGAGAATCACTTAAACATTGGAAACAGAGGTTGCAGTGAGCTGAGATTGTGCCACTGCACTCCAGCCTGGGCAACAGAGTGAGACTCCGTCTAAACAAACAAACAAACAAACAAAATCTGGTACCTTGGATTTGCTCTGAATTAATGAAATCAGAATTTTTTGTGGAAAAGGAAAAGGCATTCCTATGGTGTTAGAGTTTCCCACATGAATCCAACACACAGTTAGGGGTGGGAAATTCTGGTTCAGTAGATATATTCGAAGAATGCCAGAGTTGTGTTAACATAAGATAAATCAGGATGAGTACTAGGTGGGCAGCCAAGTATGTTTACCAAAAAACCCTTTCAATTACATCCCGCCATAAAAGCGACTGAAGAGACAGCCATGTCTTTGCCCATGATAGACCTTTTCCTTAATATTAAAATATAATAGGTCTATAGTTATTCTTAATTTTTGCTCCAGGTATTTATTCAAATTTTTAACGTCTTCAAAGGTCATTTATTCAACAAGTTTAACCACTAATGGTAAAAAAAAATAAAGAAATTTAAACAAGTGAAATTGATCATAAAATTGTTATTAAATATAATTCACTTAGAGAGCTATAACTTATGCCAATTACACATGGAAGAAGACTTAAGCCATCACTAAAAGATAATCTATACTTGTTTTGCATTTAGTTCTTAAAAAGAAAATTTGGTCACCTTGTTTGTTTGTTTGTCTTTTTACCACATTAGGAAATAACCGACAACTTAGAAGGCAGAGTAGAATTGTAATAGAATCAGGGACAGTGACAACAAATAGAAGCTATGTCTGACACACTGATAAAGAGGAAAAAGACATAAAAAGCATTAATATGGATAAAATGATTAAGAACATAGTAAATGTTCCAAGCTTATTGAATTATAATGTTCTACAGGCTTCAGTATTCTCGTGGTTTCATTGTGTTATATTGTAAAATACTTTTCATCGTCAAAAAATCATAAATTATGTTCAGCATTTTTCTGTATTAAGAGAGAAACTATGCAGCTTATTTGAGAAAAAAATCCAAAATAGGCAAATTTTGATATTTTTCAGAAAAAAATCTTCTGAAAAATTCCCTTTATATCCCTTCTAAATGCTGATTAATGCTAAATGAAAAAAGCCTTATTGTACTTTTAGAAATATCACTGAAAACTGTAAAGTATATTGCTACAATAGAGATTTTATGTATGTCTGATCGATTTTCTATGCAATTTTTTAAATGTTTTGCATACATGTTTGTTATTTTAATGAAATTCCAGCAAAACATATTTATGCAATAAAATATTTCTAAAACATACAAAATAAGCTGAATGTCATGCTTTTGTAAATACATTAAAATTAATTTTAGTTTGTTGATTATTGGCTTGTTTTTACGTATGTAAAACTATTTCTAGTTTAAATTAATTTTGAAAAAACTTTTATTTTAAAAAAGGTTAAAATATCTAAAATGATTTTTATATTTAAACACAATCTTTCCAGCAATTATAATATTAAGCCGTTAACTACCCTCTAATCAAATATCTTAAATGAATTGTATATAGCCGTTATTTGCCTAAAGATTAATCAAAATACAAATAGGTTTCAAATATTTTAAGGTTTGTGTTAATTTTTTAATTGAAATTAAAATAAGATCAGAAAAGAAAGTGAATTATTTTGGGAATAGGGCTGATTACAAAGGTTGGAAAACTGCTGTGTGAATGATACAAAGGTTTAGGTGGTGCAATTTTTGAGATATAAAAAAATGAGGACTTTTTTTGCCTTTAAAAAAATGTGGAACTCTTCAAATGTCAAGTATTATCAAAAGATTTAAAGCTAAAAACCCTTCTTTACATCTTCCCAATATAAGTATATAAATTTATGGATAAGTCATTGATAAATATTTACCTAATTTTGACTAAATATGGTTTGGTGTAGTACAAAATAGTTTATTACATTTATATTTATTTCTTATATAACTTAGGAGTTAAACTCAGGAGTTAATAACTTAATCATATTTCAATATATAAATTTCTATGAAGTTAATGCTCCAACTAGCCAAACACTGTGGTTTTTGTTTTGTTTTGTTTTTGGTTTAGCATTCTTTAAATGTTTTATTCCAAACGTTCAAATGCATAGCATTATTTGCTGCTTTACTTCCTAAATTTCTGTCTAATAGAGTTTTTGGTCAGACTATTCTCAGACTGACTGGTGTTAATGCTTTCCAAAGGTGGATCCCATTTTTCATGTACTTCTTTTCCTAAGATTGCTTCCTTGTTTTGGTGACGGATATCCTCCATTAATATCCTAAGATATACGAGAGATAAATTTCCTGTGTTTTGTGTGTCTAAAACTATCTTTTTATTTGAACATTATATTTTACTAAGATTTGACAGTCTAGAAATCTAGGTTAGAATTAACCTCAGTAAAAATTTCAAAGGCATTTTTTCCATTGTCTTCCGGTACTCAAAATATTTTTATTATTATTTATCAATTTGCAACTTGGTTTGCTTTTCTGAAAATTTTTAACAAAGATATCTTTATCACTCCTATTCTAATACTTCATGACATTTTAACTCTGAATTATTTTTTATTCCTTGTTTGATCTTTTCTCATCCATAAACTCACTTAAGACAGACATACACTGAAAGGAAATTCAGGAAATATGAGAAATTTGAAGGCAAAGAGAACTAGGTGTTATGTAAAACAAAAGTGATAATTTGAGCATGAAAATATTTGCTGCTTAGAAGTGATAGATCCCAAAACACCACAAAGAAACAATCTAATGTTCCTGAGGAGTGATTTAAAATCAGTGCAAAGGTCACAAATACGAAGTCATTAAACCTGAATTACATGCTAACTTGAACCAGATAAAACTCAGAGAATTACATACTTGTTAGTTGAGAGAATCTCTAAACTGAACAACATCAGTTGTTAGAACAGAATGTTCTGTTATTATTTTAAAAGATAATGACATTAAAATCTCTCAATTAACTATTCTATTCTTTTTATTTTCCTATGACAATCACAAAATCTTTCAACAGAGAACATTTTCCTTGGGTTGCTTAGAACTTGTATTTTCTTTTTCTTTTAGGAAACAATAAGTTAGTAAAGGGCAAACTTTTCAAAGAATTATGGCATCAGCGTATTTGTATCTTTTAAAACACAAATTTATTGCCTGTTTTCTAATAGATATATACGTACACTGTTATAAGTGTATACCAAATAGTAGACAATTAAAAATTGTGTTCCATTCAAACACCTGACATTGAGTTGTGCATGGTATACATCATTATTTTGGGTTGAAGAGGGGTTACACATTAATCACTGAGGCAATGCTTTTCCAAATAAGATGTAACTGGAATTTTACTCTGATATAGCTTTATAAGAAATAAATAAATTGAATATTCTTTAAATATTAAAATATTTGAGTAGTATGATGGTATTTCTAAGAACACAATTTATACAGAATTTAATAAAAATTATATTCAGTATACAATTTCTCTCATAGCACATGTTAAATCACTATTAAAGATATTGCTATGGAAAGAAGTTTAACTGCAAACTATCAAAGAACAAAATACAATGAAATTTTTCTCTAATATTCAAATATTTAATCCTCTCGAATAGAACTGAAGAAATTTTGAAGTAAATTAGTTTAACAGGTTCATATTAATATGTGATAAATTCATACCACAAATCTAGTGGATATAATCCAGTAGTAGAGGCAATGGATACAATCTAAAACTTACCAAAATGGCATTTTGATAATAATACAGGAAAGTACAAGAGTACTCATATAGTGACATGCTAAAAAAGAAATACAACTTTTTTTCTTATTACATACCCGTAATATAGGCATCAATATTTCAACGAGTATGAATTCCATTCTCACTATCTTATAGTCAATTTGAGATATGGGGAGTCTCACATAAATCATAGGAGGAAACAGTAATAGTCCTCGGGCTAGAATGCTGTTTCTGCTCTGCTGATTAAATACTGTATTTCTCCAATTCCCTAACTGGACAGTGTCATTTTTAACATGAGTATATAATTATCAATAAAGGAAATAAGGGTGACATTATAGATATTAAATAGACAAAAACAACACAAAAGACAATAAAATTGAAGACAAGCAAATATAAGGAGCATCATTTCACTGGTTTAATGAATGCTTTCTGTTTTCATGGAAATCTTGAAAATAGCCCCAAAATTCTCTACAGCATTTTAACTTCCTTATAAAAACTCAAGATCTGTGTTTTCTCAGCTACAGACTAAAAGTGCAAAATAAAGCCAGCAGCACTGGGAAGACATTAACTACCATATAGATGACTAAATATTACAAATATTTCATTAAAAGTAAACTGATAATTTCCCAGAAAACATTTTAGTTTGTTGTTTTGTATGTCCTGGTGATGGAATTTTTAAAATCAAGATTTCCTAATTTGTTTTTTAATAGTAATTTGGTTCTCATTTTATTTTAAGAACACCTTCCTTAAGTCTATAACTAAAACTATGAAAAGCAATCTGTATAGTATTTATTTTTTGACTCAAAATAAATAATAAAATCATAACCTACCTAGTAAGATTCAATCCATTTTTAAAGCATAGTACAAAGTCTTCCCTTTTACAACTACATACTTTGTTTTAGTATGCTGATCATTGCAATATCTGTTATCAAACTACATAAAGACTATATTACTGGAGTAATCTGAGATCGTTTAGGACATGGCTGTTGTTCTTATTAGTTCTTTTCAATATCGTAAACTATTTCATCCATATTTCATACTGATTATTTAAAACCTTAAACGATGCCAACATTGGTCCATAGGATCGCTTCATAAGACTATGTCTATTATCACAATTATGAAACATCATCAGTGCCATTATCCACTCTTGACTTTTCTACTCAATATCATACATTTTTAAAATGCTATCACACTGCATAATTAACAATATTCCAATTTCAGTTTCTTCCCATTCATTAGATTTGGGCTTTTCTTATAAAACAGAAAAGGCAGATCTTCATGCATACTGGCATATAAGAATGTTTTAGAAATTGGTGAGAGATTGATATTTTCTGATTCTTCTGTGTTGTATCTCTAACCCCCAAATAAAACAGCATTCATGCTTAATTGACACCTATGATAAATGAAGCCTTCATTTTTAAATAGTAGTCATCCGAAGTTGTTCTCAAAGTGCCTTATTGTTACATACTTCATTACTAATGGATTTTATTGGCAAATCAACCTTAGAGTAATTCATCCTAAAATCTGATTTTTAGTATCTGGTATGGGGAACAAACAAGTAAAAATATTGTTCTTTGGGGAATAAAGCGATTGTATGTTTTAACTGTTGAACTCTAAGCATTAAAATATCAGCCTTTAATATGCTAATATTCATCATAAATCTCCAAGAAAGAGCTAAAATATGAAGCACTGTCCAAAATTTAGGACACAGAAGCTCTTTGCGTTGGTGTTTTTATTCTCATATAGATGTACATACACTTTTAAAGGACTAATGTTCAGAGAACTATACTTTGGAAAACCTAATCTGAAAAATATTACAGCAGGGATTTTGACCTGTATTCAGTAGACTTTATCCACAAGTGGGTCTTAAGGGATCCAAAATGCTCCATGTCGTGATATTTCCATGCAATGTTTGTTCTTTGATTTTTCTTTGATGTCCAACATGATAACAAACTGTGGCTGTTGAACTACATGTAACAAGTAGAAGGTAAAACGTATACACTGCAGCAAATGCAGAGAAGAAGCAAGATACACAAAAGTCTTTGATGAGTTCCCCTTTTTCAAAAAGCACTCATTTGTTTTGAATCTTTTTCTATTACAGAAAGCACTGGAATTTCTCTTTCTTCAACTAAATTTCTTCACCTGAAAGAAGGTACTTATGATCAGTTGGCATCAATGAAGCATCCTCAAGAAATGTAAGGAAATGACAACTGGTTCTCAGGTTGTGTCTACAGGAGGGAATAAATGGAGACAAAACATTCCTCCCCTTGGAACATCTCAGGACCTCGTCTCAATGTCTTAGCTCTTACTTGGAAGGCCTCTGTGTTTGTCTCTAACCCCCTAACAACCTAGGACCCTGGTTACAGAAGATTCTTAATAGAGTACTGGAAGAATTCCAGGTAATATATGAATATTACTTAGCAAGGACAATTAAACTTTCAAAAAAATGAATTTTTTCTACTGGTGTTTTGAAATTTCAATTAAATTGCAATTAAAAGATAAACAACATAAAAGCAACTCCACATTTACAAGTTCTAAGCTCTAACATTGTACACATAATTGTGTTGGGGTATGTTTTTTCTGATAAAAAGAGAATGGCATTCTACAAATCATCAGTCTTGAGTACTCAGGAAAGGCATTGAGATAGTCTTAAGTATGAACATATTATAGTGCTAAGAAATACAATAAAAGGCCAAGCTAATTAGTTGATTTCTACATTGGGGAATGTTCAGGTACACCCAAATGTACTGTCAATATATTCCTAGAGTCATAGCTTATCTTAAAAAAATAGGCTAAGGCCGGGCACGGTGGCTCACGCCTGGAATCCCAGCACTTTGGGAGGCCAAGGCGGGCAGAACACGAGGTCAGAAGATCGAGACCATCCTGGCCAACACGGTGAAACCCCGTCTCTACTAAAAAAAAATACAAAAAGTTAGCTGGGCGTGGTGGCAGGTGCCTGTAGTCCCAGCTACTCAGGAGGCTGAGGCAGAAGAATGGCGTGAAACCGAGAGGCGGAGCTTGCAGTGAGCCGAGATCGCGCCACTGCACTCCAGCTTCGGCGACAGAGCGAAACTCCGTCTCAAAAAAAAAAAAAAAAAAGGCTAAATCATGACTAAAATTCAAATCTATGTTAATCTCTTCTGTATAAATTTTTTAGTTTAATTTCCTTTCTATTTTTGTCCATATGTTGCAAGAAATAGAAAATTACTGGTAGATAATTGCATGCTTAACTATTACATTAAATGTTTCAAATAAACATGTGCTATATTATTTACATTTTTACAGCAAATTTGTGACGTAATTCACCTACCATAATGTACCCTTCACCCATTTAAGATATATAACTTTATGCTTTTTTAATGTTTACGGAGTCGTAACCATCACCACAATTAATTTTAGAATAATTTAATAACTCCAAAAGAAACCATTAATCTATTTTCTATCTCTGTATGTTTGTTTATTCTGAACATTTCATTTAATTGGAATCATATAATATGTGATCCCTTGTGACTGGCTTCTTTCACTTAGAATAGTATTTCCAGGTTCACCAATGTTGCGCCAGGCATCAGCAGTGTTCCACTGTTCCAGAGTTGAAATGGGAAGGGTGGCCTGCTTCTCTTAGGGAATAGCCTCTGGACTCCTTGGTTTATCTCTCCTGCCTTGAAACAGGCATCCTATGAGAGAGCTGGGGCTAGTTGCACAAATGTCAATCGGGTAAAAAAAGTTGTGTCCCTGGTCTTCTGGTTTTTCCTCACCCGGAATTTAACCTCTACAACATGGAGCTGGGGGTGGAGATGGAAGAGAAATGTTAGCCACCTGCACCTTCCAGAAAGATACCATAGTTCTCAATGGAGAGCTTTGAAATGATGGAGCTCCATCTTCTTGGCCACACCCACTCAGAGCAGAGTTTTGTCAACCTGTGCTGGATGGGGAGGAAGGGAACACCATAGACCTTCAGTGATTCTTACTTAGATGTAGTAGATTTACCTGAGTAAATGTTTCTGCACTTGCTGTAGGCCCTTAGGAAAATTTCCACTCATTTTAAATGGTTGAATTTTTTTTTTATTATTATACTTTAAGTTCTAGGGTACATGTGCACAACATGCAGGTTTGTTAGGTATGTATACATGTGCCATTTTGGTGTGCTGCACCCATTAACTCGTCATTTACATTAGGTATATCTCCTAATGCTATCCCTCCCCCCTCCCCCAACCCCACGACAGGCCCCAGTGTGTGACGTTCCCCTTCCTGTGTCCAAGTGTTCTCATTGTTCAATTCCCACCTGTGAGTGAGAACATGCAGTGTTTGGTTTTTTGTCCTTGCCATAGTTTGCTGAGAATGATGGTTTCCAGCTTCATCCATGTCCCTACAAAGGACATGAACTCATCATTTTTTATGGCTGCATAGTATTCCATGGTGTATATGTGTCACATTTTCTTAATCCAGTCTATCATTGATGGACATTTGGGTTGGTTCCAAGTCTCTGCTATTGTGAATAGTGCCGCAGTAAACATATGTGTGCATGTGTCTTTATAGCAGCATGATTTATAATCCTCTGGGTATATGCCCAGTAATGGGATGGCTGGGTCAAATGGTATTTCTAGTTCTAGATCCCTGAGGAATCGCCACACTGTCTTCCACAATGGTTGAACTAGTTTACAGTCCCACCAACAGTGTAAAAGTGTTCCTATTTCTCCACATTCTCTCCAGCACCTGTTGTTTCCTGACTTTTTAATGACAGCCATTCTAACTGGTGTGAGATGGTATCTCATTGTGGTTTTGATTTGCATTTCTCTGATGGCCAGTGATGATGAGCATTTTTTCATGTGTCTGTTGGCTGCATAAATGTCTTCTTTTGAGAAGTGTCTGTTCATATCCTTTGCCCACTTTTTGACGAGATTGTTTGTTTTTTTCTTGTAAATTAGTTTGAGTTCTTTGTAGATTCTGGATATTAGCCCTTTGTCAGATGAGTAGACTGCAAAAATTTTCTCCCATCCTGTAGGTTGCCTGCTCACTCTGATGGTAGTTTCTTTTGCTGCGCAGCTCTTTAGTTTAATTAGATCCCATTTGTCAATTTTGGCTTTTGTTGCAATTGCTTTTGGTGTTTTAGTCATGAAGTCCTTGCCCATGCCTATGTCCTGAATGGTATTGCCTAGATTTTCTTCTAGGGTTTTTATGGTTTTAGGTCTAATATTTAAAACTTTAATCCATCTTGAATTAATTTTTGTATAAGGTGTAAGGAAGGGATCCAGTTTCAGCTTTCTACATATGACTAGCCAGTTTTCCCAGCACCATTTATTAAATAGGGAATCCTTTCCCCATTTCTTGTTTTTGTCAGATTTGTCAAAGATCAGATGGTTGTAGATGTGTGGTATTATTTCTGAAGGCCCCGTTCTGTTCCATTGGTCTATATCTCTGTTTTGGTGCAAGTACCATGCTGTTTTGGCTACTGTAGCCTTGTAGTACAGTTTGAAATCAGGTAGTGTGATGCCTCCAGCTTTGTTCTTTTGGCTTAGGATTGTCTTGGCAATGCAGTCTCTTTTTTGGTTCCATATGAAGCTTAAAGTAGTTTTTTCCAATTCTGTGAAGAAAGTCATTGGTAGCAATCCTAATCTGATAAAACAGACTTTAAACCAACAAAGATCAAAAGAGACAGAGAAGGCCATTACATAATGGTAAAGGGATCAATTCAACAAGAAGAACTAACTATCCTAAATATATATGCATCCAATACAGGAGCACCCAGATTCATAAAGCAAGTCCTTAGAGACCTACAAAGAGACTTAGACTCCCAAACAATAATAATGAAAGACTTTAACACCCCACTGTCAACATTAGACAGATCAACGAGACAGAAAGTTAACAAGGAAATCCAGGAATTGAACTCAGCTCTGCACCAAGTGGACCTAATAGACATCTACAGAACTCTCCACCCCAGATCAACAGAATATACATTCTTCTCAGCACCACACAACACCTATTCCAAAATTGACCACATAGTTGGAAGTAAGGCACTCTTCAGCAAATGTGAAAGAACAGAAATTATAACAAACTGTCTCTCAGACCACAGTGCAATCAAACTAGAACTCAGGATTAAGAAACTCACTCAAGGCCGGGCGCGGTGGCTCACGCCTGTAATCCCAGCACTTTGGGAGGCTGAGACGGGCGGATCATGAGGTCAGGAGATTGAGACCATCCTGGCTAACACGGTGAAACCCCGTCTCTACTAAAAATACAAAAATTAGCCGGGCATGGTGGCGCGCGCCTGTAGTCCCAGCTACACAGGAGGCTGAGGCAGGAGAATGGCGTGAATCCGGGAGGCGGAGCTTGCAGTGAGTCGAGATCGCGCCACTGCACTCCAGCCTGGGCGACAGAGCGAAACTCCGTCTCAAAAAAAAATAAAATAAAATAAAAAAAAAAAGAAACTCACTCAAAACTGCTCAACTACATGGAAACTGAACAACCTGCTGCTGAATGACTACTGGGTACATGACGAAATGAAGGCAGAAATAAAGATTTTCTTCGAAACCAATGAAAACAAAGACACAACATACCAGAATCTCTGGGACACATTTAAAGCAGTGTGTAGAGGGAAATTTATAGCACTAAATGTCCACAAGAGAAAGCAGGAAAGATCTAAAATTGACATCCTAACATCACAATTAAAAGAACTAGAGAAGCAAGAGGAAACACATTCAAAAGCTAGCAGAAGGCAAGAAATAAGTAAGATCAGAGCAGAACTAAAGGAGATAGAGACACAAAACAACCCTTCAAAAAATCGATGAATCCAAGAGCTGGTTTTTTGAAAAGATCAACAAAATTGATAGACTACTAGCAAGACTAATAAAGAAGAAAAGAGAAGAATCAAATAGACGCAATAAAAAAATGATAAAGGGGATATCACCACCAATCCCACAGAAATACAAACTACCATCAGAGAATACTATAAACACCTCTATGCAAATAAACTAGAAAATCTAGAAGAAATGGATAAATTCCTCGACACATACGCCCTCCCAAGACTAAACTGGGAAGAAGTTGAATCCCTGAATAGACCAATATCAGGCTCTGAAATTGAGGCAATAATTAATAGCGTACAAACCAAAAAAAGTCCAGGACCACATGGATTCACAGCCGAATTCTACCAGAGCTACAAGGAGGATCTGGTACCATTCCTTCTGAAACTATTCCAATCAATACAAAAAGAGGGAATCCTCCCTAACTCATTTTAAATGGTTGATTTTTTAAAACAATTTTTGCCAGTTAAGTTTGTTCCCTGGAGAGAGGATTTAAGAAGTTCCTCATACCATCATTGAGAAAATTGTTCTTATGTTTACATTTGAAACCACTAAAAAGTGTTGTTCACAATATTTTTGATGTAATCCAAAATTGACCACTATCTGGGCATGCTAAAATAATTGTATTAAGTGTTTTTAATGGGTACTTTATTGGATTAATACCTTATTGTTCTGTCCACATTGACTTACAATATTACTAATCAATTCCTTTATGAAAGAAAATATAAACATTATTTAATATTTTTAATTTATAACAATTACATTTTTCAGGTTTGAAGGGTAATTATCATAGCCACAAATTGCAATAATTTTAAATCTATTATCCTATATTCAAAAAAATCTTTTTGATTTAGCCACTTATATCTTTGTATACAGCATTTCCTTAATGAAAATATGATACTGATACATAAGCAATTGTATAGCCAGTACAAAAAAACAGCAATTCATAGTGAATCAGTTTTATTGTAAAATCAACAATTATCTGTTTGTATTTTAATGCACTCAGAAACCCACTATAAGAAAAACACAGAAGTTATTAAGCACATGTCTGATATCAGAGAGATTACCTAATTGAGGTGAAAATATGGGCATGCATGTATTTCAGAAAAAAAAAATCTTGCCAATCATCTCTATTATGTTTTCCTGTATAACTCAGTTTCCTGTCTCCAAATCAATTATCTCAAACCTCTGACCACAACGCCTCTTCTCATTTTCCCAAAAAGAACCTGCTTCCTGTCTTTGCTTGGGACTCCCTGAAGCAAAGTTCAAGAAAAGGATACGTATGGATGTAGTTCATTTGCAAAGGAGCAAAAAATGAACAGAAATATGAGAAACAAACAATATAGGAGTACATTATGGAGTTCACCACTGTGGAAAACTGGGTCTTTACCCTACCTACAACCTCCTCAGAATTGTCCATCGTAGGATTGAATATCTACTCTTTTTCTCAATCTCTATCGACTAAGGGTTTCCCTGGGAATTGTTAACTATCCTACATTTCAAGAGTACTCAATGTCCTTGTCCAGCAGGCTCCAGAAGATGCCTGTAGCTGTCAGAAAAGTCCAAGCAGAAAGTGAAGAGTGCACATTTGAGACATTGTCAGTGTGAATTAAGCCCAAGACCATACATAATTCAGCTGAAGCTATGTCTCAACTGGAGGTCATTACTACATGATGAAAGTTGGGGGCAACAGAGGCATACGATAAATTTTCTATTCAAGAAATAAAAGATACACATATTTTACATGTCATTCTTATTTAAATAAAGTGCTTGATTAAAAAATAAAAGAAACAAAAAGCTAAGCCATTAGATGGGAACTTTCTTCATTGAGTTACAGCAAGATTTCTTATTTTGATACCCACTTTTTCCTGCTTATTTCCTGATGAAACACAGACACTGTCCTTCCTGCTATCGAACGCTTAGCATGCCAGCGTCACCTTGGTTATCATTCCCATCCACCATTACTTAGGCAACTAAATAAACTTACTCATGAGCTTTTCACAAAATGTAAAGATAACTTTTATCCTATATTTCAGCATTACCATTGTGCTTTCTTTAAGGATCCTTCCGTTCATCTTGACAGCCTCTAATCAGTCAGTCTCCTGAACCATAGCTTTAGTAATCTTTCAGAATATAAATCAAACCAAATGATTTATCTACTTAAATCATCCAATATCTTCCCATTGCTATTAGAAAGAACAAAGCCCTCAACATGGTCTAAATGACCCTGTTGGGTGGCATCATGTCTCCCACTCCAGCCTCCACTCAGATGATCATGCTGCTCTTAGTGTTTTCAAGTCACATTGATCATCTCAACTTTCTTCATTCTTTTCTTTTCACCACACAGAATTTCACACCGTTCTCTCTATTACTGAGTATCTCTTTCTCTTTCCTCTTCACTTAGTTACTTTTTAAATGCAACTAAACCTTCCTATATCAACTTTACCAACACTTCCTCCAAGAACAATCTCTAACTCAAAGGTAAGGTTAGCTCCACATTTATCTGTGTTTTTATAGCACTGCACACTCTTTTTAGCAGCAGCTATCCAGCTGTGTTTACATATTTATTGATGTTATTATGTTATTAATGTATTCCCACTCCATGAAACTATTAGATACAAAAGGGCCTTGTCAATTTTGAGGGCTTCGTGCCCACCTTTGTATCCCAGATACATATCTTAGTGCCTGTTATATGAAAGTAACTAATTACATATTTGGGGAATTAAAAAAAAGACCATGAAAGTGTAAAGGCATTGATATTAACCTGTATGCTTGTAAATATAAATAAACTGGGACTTTAAGAAACTTTAAGAAAACTTTAAGTTTTAGTTCAAGTAGTTATGGAAATCTGAGAGGAGCAGACTCCAATTAAACTGGGCATTGACACTATATTCATATATACAAACAAGTGAAAAAATAATTTCATGTTTAGTATTAAAGAAAAACAAATATAACAAATATAAAGAGTCAAAAATGAACATGCCATGTATAAATATATGAGATAACAAAATGGGGAAATAAATATATAACAATAGTAAAATTGGATAAGCAAGGTGTATTAGTCTGTTCTCATGCTGCTAATAAAGACATACCCAAGACTGGGTAATTTACGAAGGAAAGAGGCTTAATTGACTCACAGGTCCACATGGCTGGGGAGGCCTCACGACCATGGTGGAAGGTGAGAAGGAGCAAAGCCACGTCTTACATGGCAGCAGGCAAGACAGAATGAGAAGCAAGTGAAAGGGGAAACTCCTTATAAAACCATCAGCTCTCATGAGGCTTATTCACTACCATGAGAACAGCATGGGAGAAACCACCCCATGATTCAATTATCTCCCTGTGGGTCCCTCCCACAACATGTGGGAATTATGGGAGCTATAATTCAAGATGAGATTTGAGTCGGGACACAGACAAACCATATTAGCATTATATCATTAAAAGCCTTCAGAATTCTGGAAATACTTAGAATGGCTAGCTGTATGAACAAGAACTGCTCTAGGATTTTGATTAAGAGAGGGATAACAAAACTAGTGGTGGATTAGAATGTCTAGTACAATAATGTGGGTCAAATGAAGAGAAGATAGAGAAAAGTCTGGAAACAGGATTTTGTTGTAATTTATACATGGCTAGGATGTTCAGGAAAGGGGATTAAAGTACCAGAGAGAATCAAAAGTTATTTCAAATTGATTTTGCCATGTTAAATATAGAAAAATGATCTAGAACCAGAAATACCATTTGACCCAGAAATCCCATTACTGGGTATATAGCCAAAGGATTATAAATCATTCTATTATAAAGACACATGCACACGTATGTTTATTGCAGCATTATTTACAATAGCAAAGACTTGGAACCAACCCAAATGCCCATCAGTGATTGACCGGATAAGGAAAATGTGGCACATATACACCATGGAATACTATGCATCCATGAAAAAGAATGAGTTCATGTCCTTTTCAGGGACATGGATGGAGAAGGAAGCCATCATTCTCAGCAAACTAACACAGTAACAGAAAACCGAACACTGCATGTTCTCACTCATAAGTGGGAGTTGAACAAAGAGAACACAGGGACACATGGAGGGGAACATCACACATTGGGGCCTGTCAGAGGGTGGGGGGCAAGAGGAGGGAGAGCATTAGGGCAAATACCTAATGCATGCAGGGCTTAAAACCTAGATGACAGGTTGATAGGTGCAGCAAACCACCATGGCACATGTATATCTATGTACCAACCTTCATGTTCTGCACATGTAACCCAAAACTTAAAGTAAAATAAAAAAAAAAGAAAATGAAATGAAAACATGAATTAAATATTTTAAGACTGTTTATTATGGGAGAGTAAAGAAAATCTGTATAAAATAATTATTAAAAATAATTTTTAAAATCTATTTTTATTTTTAGAAATAGGGGGTCTTTCTAAGTTGCCCAGGCAGAACTCAAGCTTTTGGGCTCAAGTGGTCCTCTACATGAGCCTCTCAAGTAGCTGGGACAGGCATGCAGCACTGCACCTGGCTTTGATAGGAAACTCTGAGCAGAAAAGCAGCGGTAAAGACAAAAATAAGTTGTTATAAAACAGACTGAGAGCTCTTGAGAGAAAATTAATAGTAAACATATCTTGATTTTGAACCACACCATTTGGATACAGGAAGCTGAGATTGGAGAATAAAATCAGCTAATGTACATGGGACATAGGTAGATTAAAAATGGTCACAAATTCTCTACTGCTCCTCCTTTCAAGAAGAGGCATTGGTTTCTCCATGAGTTGAGTCTGGACTGCCCTTGTGACTGTTTTTTGACAAATTAAAAACTATAAAATTATGCAATTCCAAAGTCCAGGCATTAAGAGGCTCAAAACTTGCACCATTATCATGACTGGATATTGCCACCATATACCCCACCTAATAGCCAACACCCACAGTCATACATGAGAATGAGGCCACCACAGACTTCCCAGCTCCAGTGAGAATTTGGATGATGCAACCCTCTGACTGAAGGAAGGTGAGATGAGCAGGAGGACAGTCCACCATGAGTAAAATATTATCGGGGAACCTGCCCCAATAGTCACGTAGGTTTTTTCTATTTTCCCTAAGCGTCAGTCGGTTTGAGAAATAAAGGGACAGAGTACAAAAGAGAGAATTTTAAAGCTGGGCATCCGGGGGAGACATCACATGTCGGTAGGTTCCATGATGCCCCACAAGCCATAAAACCAGCAAGTTTTTATTAGTGATTTTCAAAAGGGGAGGGAGTGTGCGAATAGGTGTGGGTCACAGAGATCACCTACTTCACAAGGTAATAGAATATCACAAGGCAAATTGAGGCAGGGCGAGATCACAGGACCACAGGACTGGGGTGAAATTAAAATTGCTAATGAAGTTTCGGGCACCATTGTCATTGATAACATCTTATCAGGAGACAGGGTTTTGAGAGCAACCCGTCTGACCAAAATTTATTAGGCGGGAATTTCCTCTTCCTAATAAGCCTGGGAGCGCTATGGGAGACTGGGGTCTATTTCACCCCTACAGCCTGGACCATAGAAGATGGCCACGCCCAGGGGGGCCAGTTCAGAGACCCACCCCCAGGCATGTATTCTCTTTCCCAGGAATGTTCCTTGCTGAGAAAAAGAATTCAGCAATATTTCTCCCATTTGCTTTTGAAAGAAGAGAAATATGGCTCTGTTCTGCCCGGCTCACTGGCAGTCAGAGTTTAAGGTTATCTCTCTTGTTCCCTGAACATTGCTGTTATCCTGTTCTTTATTCAAGGTGCCCAGATTTCATATTGTTCAAACACACATGCTCTACAATTTGTGCAGTTAATGCAATTATCACAGGGTCCTGAGGTGACATACATCCTCCTCGGCTTACGAGATGACAGGATTAAGAGATTAAAGTAAAGACAGGCATAGGAAATCACAAGGGTATTGATTGGGGAAGTGATAAGCATCCATGAAATCTTCACAATTTATGTTTAGAGATTGCAGTAAAGACAGGCATAAGAAATTATAAAACTATTAATTTGGGGAACTAATAAATGTCCATGAAATCTTCACAATTTAAGTTCTTCTGCCATGGCTTCAGTCGGTCCCTCCGTTTGGGGTCCCTGACTTCCTGCAACAAAATATAAAATAACTTTGCTCTAAGACACTAAGTTTTTGATGTGGTTATTGCACAGCAATAGAAAATGGGTTATATAGCCCCCAAATGTTTTAAAAGTCCCAAACATGTGGCATGACATCTGGGTGCAAGCAGTCAGAGGTTGTGAAAGTGGCTATGAAACTTCTGGTGGGGGCAGAAACACGAAAGAAATTAAATGCTGAGCCTTGAGAAAATGTGAAAACGATCGGCAAGGCTATTAACAATTGGAGGTTAATTGAAAGTCAAAACATATATTTAATTAATTTTGGATATAGCTAAAGAGATTTCCAAACAGGAAGCTGGAAATATCAATTGGCTCCTTTTGGCTGTGGATGATAAAGTATGGGAAGAGAGAAGTAAACGAAAAAGAGAAATGTTCCATTTGTAAGAAGAATGTAAAGAAAATATAAAGAAACCAGTACTTGCCAAGTTGAAAAATAAAGATTCTCATATTGCTTTTTTTTTTTTTTTTTTTTTTGAGATGGAGTCTGACTCTGTCACCCAGGCTAGAGTTCAATGGTGCGATCTCAGCTCACTGCAACCCGGGTTCAAGTGATTCTCCTACCTCAGCCTCCCAAGTAGCTGGGATTACAGGCACGTGCCACCATGCCCAGCTAATTTTTGTATTTTTAGTGGAGACGGGGTTTCACCATGTTGTTCAGGATGGTCTTGATCTCTTGACCTTGTGATCCTCCCACCTTGGCCTCCCAAAGTGCTGGGATTACAGACATGAGCCACCATGCCCAGCCGCTTTTATTTTCAAGATGGCAAAAGATTCCCAAATAAGAAATGGCTTAGCATAAATATTTTACTAAGGATGTGACTATAAGACTCTTGACAATAAGACTCTGTTAAAACCTAAAACCTCTGTTAAAAAAAAAATATATATATATATATTTAAGGTGGAGTCTAGTGAACATCTTCAGCTACCTGACAATGTGTGTGAGTACCTAAGTTTGGTTTCATTCTCAAATAGCACTGATAAGTATGGAGGAAAGTAGTCTTAAAATGTGTGTGTGACATTTGTTAATTTAGTAGACTATAAACTGATGATTACAAAGCCCACTCATTATTTTATTTTTTATTTTTATTTTTTGGAGACAAGGTCTCACTCTGTCACCCAGCCTGGAGTGCAGTGGCACAATCATAGCTATAGCTCACTGTAACCTCAAACTGCTGGCCTCAAGTGATCCTCCCACCTCTGCCTCCCTAGTAGCTAGTACTACAGTCATGTGTCATGATGTCTGGCTAATTAAAAAAACAAATTTGTGGAGACAGGGTATGCCATATTGCCGAGGCTGGTCTTGAACTCCAGCGCTCATGTGATCCTTCTGCCTCAGCCTCTCGAAGTGCTGGGATTATAGACATAAGCCATTGTGCCTAGCCTCTGCTCATTATTAAGAGAGTTGTATCAGTATGGATTAAAATGGATAGGGACAATTTCCAATAAAAAATATTTTTGGAGCACCTAATTATCTGTGGGCAGGAAGCTGGCTGAAAAATGTATCCAACTGCAAACATGGACCATTTTCAATAGAAGAGGAAAAACGTTTCAGTGCGTGTAGTCAGGAATCTGCAGGGTAGATCCTGAGTTCTGGAGGCCAGTGGATTATGGAATCACTCCAAAGAAGAAAAATTGCGTTCTAAAGAAGAAACATTTTCTGCACCTGAGGTAGAGGATTCTGACAACACATACCCAGCTGGATTTTAGAATTATGCAGATGAGTGAATGCATGAACTTATCCTGCCTCTTTTGAATGTCATGCAATACCTGTACAATTTTTTGTTGGATCCATAGGGAACAAAATAATTTTTTTAATTCACATGTCTATAGACCAATAGAAGCTACACTTGAGAAGATGTACCCAAGGAGGCAACATCCATATCTGAACCAGAAGCAGCTAAAAGATATTTGACTTTGAATCCGATGCCTTGATTGGCTAAGACTTTTGACTATCTTAGGACAGGATGAGTATTTTTTGTATTTAGGAAGAATGTATTTGATTTTCCCTGAGGAAAGCATCTGAGGAGCCTCTAATTTTTAAAATTTATTTTTATTTATTTTTTGAGATGGAGGTCTCACTAGTAATTGGTAGATTAAAAATAACCACAAACAATGTGCAGTAACTCTCATCAAAAGGTGGAGTCTCTTTGCTCATACCTTAATCTAGACTGGCTTTGTTAGTTGCCCTAACCAACAGAACATGGCAGTAGAGATACTGTATAAATTTTAAGCCTAATCATTTTTTTGACTGTCATATGAGGAAGACTGGGATAGCCTACTAGATTCTTTACTAATCTGATAGCCAGCAGTCAGCACCAATCAACAGACATAGATGATCATCTTATATCTTCTAGCCACAGCTGAGGTGACAGATACTGTAGCTCCATGAATGACTCTAAGCAAAGGCAGCAAAACAATTATCCAACCGATTCCAGTACAAAGTACTAATAATTGTTGTGCTAAGCTACTACATTTTGGAGTGACTTGTAATATAGGAACAGATGACAAGGCGTACTAGTCTCCTATGATCTGTTACAAGGACGTTATGGTTGTATCTATTTCTACAGCTCCATTATGGTTGGAGCTAAAATTCTCTTCATCTGAAAAAGGCATAGGGTTATTTGGCTGTGTGTAACTGCAAAGCGACCCATTGTGACAACAGAAGGGGACTGTCATTGTAATGTATTCTTATTTTTATTATTTATATTTTTCTATATTTTGGGAATTCTGTACTTGGATTTTAAGAGCTTATATCTTGACGTAGTTGATTGGTTTCTCCATTTTGCTTATTTTTCAGAGGCATCACAGAATTGCTACTTTAGTAATCAGAGAAAGTGGCACTTGTCTACACGTTTGTAAGGGTGATTGAACTTTATTTTCCAGCTAGCATTGTTCCCTATGTCCTCTAGGAAAATAGAAAATGAAGGGAAGTCTAGGTGGTGTGGCAAGTATAAATGCCTTGCATCTGAGAACTAGTTAATTTTCATCATAATGTGACCTTATTTTGAAGTTTGATTATTTCTGAGGATGTAGTTGCTCTTAATATTTAATTATGAGATGTCCCAAAATTGATAAATAGAATTTTAAAATGTCAATATGTATGAAGAAAGATGTTAATTGACTTATGGATCTTTGACACTTTGCTCCATATCTCTCTGGATAGAAAGTTCTTCAAATGCTAGCTCACAGGAGAAGTGAAGCAAGGAAATAATTGGTCACAATGGAAAAGCTGGTGGCTGCTCTCATGAAGTTAATTAAGTAAATATTTCCACTTGGAAATAATATTTGTACAAAGAAGGCAGTTTATATTATGAGGTTTACCAATTATGAGGTTTATATCATGTGGTTTACCAATAGATCTTATTTTATGTTTATGGTGGGATTAATATAGGTAATAAGGGTAAAAGGTGATTCTAAAAGCAAATGTATGAGAGAACAATCTTTTGCTGACAACTACAGCAAACAAGAAGTAGCTAAAACTAAAAGTAAGTATACAATTTTGATGATGGCAGATTATAGTAAATCAGACCAAAATCCCTAATCCCACTCCTCAAAAATAGAGGGCAAATAGAAAAGCTGAACAAAATATAAAATGGATTTATTTAAAGAGCATCAAAGGGATAAACTGGTAATGAAGACTTAGAGAATACCATTAGGACAGGAAAATGACTCAGTCAGGTGGAACATATTTTATGGGAGCATTCATCAATTTGGTAGATAACAGGTAAATATCTGAGAGCAAGTTTTGCCATCATTGGCATGATAAGTAATCCCAGTGGGAAACTGGAGAACCAGAGCCAGCTAAATAAGGAAGATAGTAAGCATAAACCCTTCATTTTGGGTTTACATTACAAAGGGTTACATCACAGTAGTAAGGACAAAAGTAAATCAGAGCTTTTTGTGAGCAATATGGCTCAGCCTCAAAAATCTTAACTTCTGAAAAAGAATTACAGTTATTTGGAATTGTTTGTGCCAATAACTGTCTTCCATAAGTAAATATACACAAAGAAGAAGTAAATTATTGTCCACAAGGTTATTCTACAATTTTACAAAGGGAGGTGTTTAACATAATAAAAAGTTAACAAGAATATGAAAAAAGGGAATGTGAATAAAAACCAGTAGAAACAACAGACAATAGAATCTGACATGCAGAGAAACTGGACATGTAAGATATCAGGAAGAAATACCCAAATAACTAAGGGATTTTCTTGTTCAAGTTTATAAGAGAAAAGATGGAGAATTTCAGCAGATAAACGAAAAGAATTAAAAATAATTGGAAATTTTAGAATTTTAAAAGCAACTAATTAAGAAATTGGTTGATGATTGAATAGAGAATTATTCTACTTCTTACAATAGCTGAGTATGTGATTCAGATCATCTCTCTGAAACAGGAAAATCTGAAGAAAATAGAGTACAACTTTATTTAATATCACATTCAAAACACAAGAAGACATAATAATTCTAAATTTGCATGCACAAATAACATATATATACATACACATACAGAAACATATACACATATATATAGAAAACAAATATTAACAAATAGAAAAATAGACATGTGGTCAGAATAATTGATAGAACAATAAGAGAAAAGAGTAAGACTTTAAAATATCTGAACTACATGATAAAGAAATTTGATTTCATGGACACACATAGAAAGCTGAATCCAACAAGAGCAAGTAGGCAGTTGTTTAAGCAAAATAGAAAAATAACAAAAAATGGTCATATGCTTATCCATAAGCCAAGTGTCAACAAGTTTTAACTATGGGCACTGTATCTCTTACTAAACTATATTGTGCAAGGAATCAGTAATAAATTGCTAACTGGAAAATCTTAATATATTTTAAAATTAGTAAATAAAAATCAAATTACTTCTGCACAAAAAGGACTTTTATATTCTCTTGTATATTTTATGTTCCTGGAAAATCTCAATAGTTCCATGCAAAGTAACTCAGCTGAGACTATTGATTACTGGAAAATTATATGGGTACTTGGAGACCAACCAAAGTCAGGTTACTACAAAATCCTGAAAATATTCTCTTAGGAAGTTATATCACTACCAAGAAGTACCAGTAGAAGCCTGACAAAAAATATTGGCATAGATTTTTATAATTAATGATCAAAGGGGAGAGGGATACATTATTAATTTTAATACTGCTGCATGTAAGGTGTAATTTAGGTGAAAACTGATCCCCCAGTGGCTTCACACTTTCATAAGCTGACTCTTCCGTAGGATAATACAACTAACCTGCTTCCGTGGGTGAAACTGTGGGTTTAACACAGTTTTCTGTGAGGTATAATCACATTTCCCCCTCTCTGACTCAAAAATACAATACCCCTTTCAAGGTAGTAGGAGTGTAATGAATGCAAGTGACCTACACTGGCTTTATGGAGGTCAGAAGGACACATGTTAATTTAACACCTCTGACATGACTATGGTAGATCCTGTCATCGGAGGACTTCACTAACTTGGGTGCTTTATATAACTTGCTTCTTTGAGAGCCAAGGGTGAATTCAGGAGGCAGTAACTGACCTCCTTGCTGAATTATTGAACATGAGGCTGCATGAAATCAGGCATGGATAGGGAAAATACAAAGTCATGAGGAGCATATAAAAACCAGCTCAATCGCAATAGATATGTGTAGATTATGTTAACTTTTAAAGCCCCTTCCCTGCAGTTTATGTTCTGATCTAGTATGTTTTCCACTGAAGCCATAGCAAATGACCACAAATTGAGTGGCTTAACACAACATAAATTTATCTTCCAGTTCTGTAGGTCAGAAGTCTTACATGGGTGTCCCCAGCTAAAATCAAGATATCAGCAGAGTTCTTTCATTTCCTTGCCTTTTCCAGCTCTAGAAAATGACTACATATGTAGGCTTTTGGCCTCCTTCCTCCATCTTCAAAGCCATCAACAGCCAAGAGGGTCTTTCTCACATTGCTGCTGCCACCTTTCAGGTTCTCTCTTCCTAAGCACAGCTCTCTCCCTCACTACAACTGAGAAAGGTTCCCTGCTTTTAAGAACCCATGTGATAAGACAAGGCCCACCCATATAATATCCTCAGTTTATTTACATCTGCAAAGTCATTTTGCCAAGAACAATTATACATATTCCCAAGTTCTGGCATGAGGTTACCTTTGTAGGGCAGCATTACTCAGCTGACCACACCTACTCGGACTTTTTCCTCTTTAAAAAAAAAAATTAAACTTATATTCAGACAGAGGGTCAACTTTCTGGTGATGGTTTTAAATGAACCCTAGAGCATCTTACTAGGCCCACGCTTCTCCCTTCCCAGCAGTTTTTCTCAGCCTGCCCCTGCTTAACTCAAGTATTTCAATGGAATAGATCTGGGAAGACAGCATAAGTGGTTGCATACTGAGATTTGCTGTTTTTCTCTTTTCTTTACAGATGTTTTGAATTTTACAAATTTTCAGTGCTAAAATTATGCTGAGGATGTTTGGGGGTTTTATTTTGTTTTGTAGTTTTATCTCTGACTTAGTCTCTTCAGGCTGCTATTACAAAATATCTTAGACTGGGTAAGTTCTAAACAACATAAATTTATCACAGTTCTGGAGGCTGGGAAGTCCAAGATCAAGGAAGTGGTCGTGCCTGGTGGGGGTTCACTTCCTCAGAGATCATGCCTTCTTGCTGGTGGAAGGGCCAGCAAGTGCCCTCAGGCCTCTTTATAAGAGTACTGATCCCATTCCTGAGGGCCCCACCCTTATGACTTAGTCACCTCCCAAAGACTCCACCTCTTCATACCTTCATAGTGGGGATTAGGCTTCAATATATGAATTTGAGTGAGGGAGGAAGGTCACAAGCATTCAAAATAGAATCTCTTCTTCCCACCTCACATTTTTTTTGTCTCTACTGTTTTGGGAGGAAATATATAAAGATGGGCACCTAGGCATGTTGTCTTTTGTTTACTGTATTTGGTAAACTGTTTTGGGATACCAGACATTATGAATTTTATGTTGCAAAAGGCATTTTTTTTATTACTCTAAGGACTGTTGGGCTTTGTTTCAGCACGTAGTGAACTTACTTGCAAATCATCTTATTCCCTTTGAGGTTTGCTTTTAAGCGTTGTTTGGACAGTTCCAGGACAGCCTTTACTCTAGGATTAAATTTTCTTACTCCCATATATAATATCTGGGGTCTCTTCTCGGGCTAAGGATTTTTCTGAGAATTGTTTCATCCAGTAGTATTTTCTGTCATTTGGAATTTTAGCGCATTCTTGATCAGATCCAATACTCTGCCAAAGACTAGAAAATGCTTCTCTTCAGCACTCGTCTGATAGTTCACACCACATGAGCTTCTAGAGCCTTGCAGAAGAAGTTCTTGAATCACTTACACTTGAATCAATGGAAAATAAGAAAGCTGACATCTAGATTTTTCTTTTATTCCTTTTTTTTTTGTTTTGTTTTGCCCACTTACGAACATCAAAGAAAAATTTCCAGAAGGGCTTCTGACTGAAAACTACCCAATAGGCTCTGGGCATGCAAATAAATATCCCATTGTGTGAGCACAGTGATTGCTCAATGTCTGGCAATTTGGCTATTATATGTTATACTGGATAAACCAATGCTCCAAGACTTTTTAGTTGATAAAAGGTAAATGTGATAAAGTGGAAGATTAGAAAGAGAAGTGAGTTTCATCAATGCTTTTCGCATTTTATGAAGTATAAGCCCCACAACAAGTATATATTTATATAGAAAGTCATTTATTTAAGAAATGTAGTGACAGCGCTTTTGTAATATGCCCTGGTCTTCCTTCCTGCCTCAGGCTCTCATCCCACTGTGTCAAATCAGTCTTCTACCTTCCTCCACTCCCAAGAGCTTCAATTATGATAGATTGTTATAAACTTTATGTGGCAAAGTTGTTAGAAGTCTGGGGAGCCCTGGATTTACATAAATACCATGTAAAAAGTGTCTTTAAATGGTAAGTGTGGAACTTCTACCTTGCACAGTGATCATTCTGACACTTGAGAGCGAGTATGAAAAAGCATGAGAAAGGAAGAAGCTACCTAAAAACATATCTAACATAAACTAACAATAGAACTTGAGAACTTGGAGAACACTGGGGAAAAGTTAGTTAAAGAGCAAGAGGAAAAATTAAATGGATTTAAGAATTTAATGAATGCTTGTGATTTAGGATAAACAGTGACAGATGGGTGGTAGATATGAGAAAGAACTGTGTGAATTACATAACCTGGTTTCTAATTCTGTAGTCTTTAACCTGCGCTATCTTTAAAATCACTTTTGCTCTTCTCTGCTCAGTTAATTATATGGGAGCCAACATGAAAGAAGCTACTTGTATTTTCAATGTGATTTTAAAATATGGGACATCTGATTACTGTACACTTGTGAAATATAATCATGTGGATATATTTAAATACCTCTCTGTCTTCCACACGTCTGTGTTTTTATATTTATCTATCCATCCATCTATCTATCATCTAACTATTTATCTATATATCATCTTCTATCTGTTATGGAATCTCACTGTTGCAACCCAGTGAATTATTTTGAACCTGAATATTTAACTGATTTGAGTATGACTTTACCAATGCAATGCCAAAAACGGAGGAAGGGGGTTAAATACACCCTATTAGCTACCAAAGTTTAAGAAAAAAAACGGGAAAAATCGGATAAAAGAATGAAGACAGAGGGGGAGGAAGAGAAAAATGAAGAAATAAAGATGAAAAAAAGGAAAAAAGAATAAGGATGGGACCATGAGGAGCTAAAAACTAATACATACTTTAAAAAATACAGGTTAGATTTTATTACAGCCATTTTTGAGACTTTGGTTTAAATCCCAAAGTTGTAACTCTATGCTACATTCTATAAGGTTCCAAGGCAAGGTTTTTATCTTTTTCACCTAATGTAGTGGTTATAAATATGGAAAAATAAGTATTTTTAGCTAATTAATTATGTGCATCTAGTTGTTCTTGGAATAAATAGCAAAATGTCTCTAGCTAGGGCTTACATTTCTGTCAGAGTTGATGGCATTTTTAAAGGGACTTTACAACTCTCAGTAAGATCCTCTCTGTAGTAGAGCTGAAACTAATAACAAAATCCAGTTTAGCCTTTACAACTAACTGCCAGGTTAGGTTTTCTTTTCATTTTTTATTTTAAATTTTTTGTCCTAAAGATCATTAGCAGAGGCACTCTTTTGATCCTGGCTTTTCATCATAAGATTTTGTTTGTCATGTTACAAAAATAAAAAGTTTTTTTCCAGAGAAGTAGAGAATTTATTGAAGAGTCAAGTTGGGATAAGGACTGGGTATCTGTTTCCTTTTCAGATCAACTCTCCTCAAAGCCTTGTTTGGGGGCACTTTGGGTTCCGTTAACAATCAGAACAGCACTTTTATTCTCAGTGATATTAGGTAACCGTGACAGTAATTTTTGTTGCTGTGCAATCTTCAGTCTCACACTTATCTGCCAGGTCTGAAAAGTGTTTGGAGAAATGAGCAAATATGAGCTGCTAAAACCAGAAAAAAGGAATTGTCCACACTGTTTTTAAGCTTTCTTTTCTCACCACAGCCTGCTGTTTCTTTTCATTGCTCTCTGGCTGCTCCTGGGCTGAATTTTATTTCATTTTGAAAACCACATATTTGCAATAAATGGAAATGAAACATCACTCCTCAAGGATAGGCTAGTTTATCAAAAATTCTTTTCTTAGATTTCTACCTCCACAGAAGACTACAAAGTGATGTTGAAATTCTTACCATAAATCCTTCAATCATTACCACTTACAAACAGATAAATGTTGACGTGCAGCCTGAGGCAAAATTAAGAAAGGTGATGTTATGGGGCTTTTACATCACTCCATTTCACTCTCAGCAGATGTTGCTGGTGTGTAAGGCAGGACTGTAGCTGCTGCCACATAGGGGAGGCATCCTGGACCTCCAGGGAATATATTGCATATGCTTTTAATTTAGGTAATATCTCTTTCTTGATTTGATCAGATGCTTCAGAGTCTAATGGAATGGGAGTTGTCAGAGTACTACCAGGACTCTGTACCTCTTACTTTTATGTTTAGTGACCTAACTTTCTATGGAGTAGCCTGACGTTCCTGAGCTGAGTGACTCACTTCTTGTTCAATATCTCTGAAGATGACCAAATAGTCTGAAAATCAACCTTTGTTTTTGTTCCAGTAAATTTATTAATGGGGAAATAGGATAGATTGTAAGAAGTTTTCAGAGGGCATACTGGACCCCATTTTCTCTCTGTCAAGTCTCGCCAGCAACATTTAATACAGCTAGCATTTCAATAGCACAATATATGCTCAATATGTTTTAGGAAAAATGTAGCCAGTGTATTGTGTGACATAGGCTGTGGGCTGGGGAATTACAGATCAAGAGAAAAATAATGGTAAGAAAAGTTTTCATGAAAGAGGGAGGATTTGAACTGGACTTCTTACAATATTTAAGATGTTAATAGACTATTGATGCTATTGAACACAGGGAAAATAGTTTTGAATGGAAGATTATAATTTGAGATTTTGACCTGTTATTATTGCGGGGGATTGGTAAGATTTTTAAATACCCAGTAAAGTTATTGAAAATAAGGAATAATAATATGAGATCTCATAATTCTTTATTATACTAGTTCAATGGAACAAGTCAATAAACTGTAAAAAAAGCTGAAATATCAAGATACAATCAAATAAAATGTCACGGTATATTGAATACTGGATTTAGACAAAAATGAGTAAAATGGGTAATGAAAGAACTTGTAACCAATAAATATCCTTATCTGGGTACAATCACCTCCAGAAAACAGTGGATTTGGCTTTTTCCCTGCCTTTAGAATCTCATGCAATTTCTTCTTGCTGGCAAACTCTAACATTAAGGATAAGATATTCTGAGAAACATAGTTCTTATCTTCCCTCTGACATTGTCCCTGTAGTATCCCTAATAAGAACATTTCTCCTTAGTCAGGTAAGACTTCTAAACAATTTAGAGGCCACAGTTGTAGTTCATTAGGTATAGCAATAAAAGAAAAGCTTCTCTTTGCATTCCTTACATCCTGGACCCATGAAGTATAGCTATAGGAGAAATAGAAGCATCTTTGGTATATAACGTCTGGAACTTAACTTCTGCATGTAGTTTATAACCTGATACCTGAAAGGTGATCTAAGTGTCTTCTGAACCCCTTCCTCCATGCTATAAGGCAAGTAGTGCATTCCACTATTCAATTAGGCAGAGGCCGGGGTATATGGTAGGAACTATGAATTCCATTGGCAAAGACCTATTTGTTAAACTTCATTTGCTTTAAAATAATTCCCTTGTTCAGAAGAAATGCAGTGGAAAATTTTCTGACAGTGAATAATGCAATCTCCAAAATCATGAATGGTGTTTTGGCAGGATCATTGTTGGCAATGAAGACAAATCCATTTCCAGAATCATCCTTTATTCCAGGAAGAGTAAATTGTTTCCTCTTCTGTGATGGGTGGCCCAATACAATCAAATTGTCACCAGGTGCTGGCTTGTTCACTTGGGAAACATTATCATATTGGTGGCTCAGTGTCACTTTATGTTGTTGACATGTTGGGAACTCACCAATAGCTGTAGCACATAATCCACACTGTTGAGCTCAAGCCTGCTTCCATAGCTACTTCCACAGTCACTTGGTTCATCAGCCCTTTCAGCAATGATTAGCATGGCTGGGCAGGAAGGTCCGCTGACCTTCTGTATAATGGGCCATCATTTCCATGTGATTACCAAGAGCCTGATCTGCAGTAGGTGCCATTTGGTGGACATCTACAAAAGACAAAAATACCCTTTTGCTTTTGTGCCAATTTTGTGAGGTCTATGACATCCTCCCAGGCCTCTTGGTAAACAATTTTCCAATATTTTTCCTTCTAAGTCCTTCACCATCCAGCCAAATAATTAGTCTTTGCTCATAAATCAGCATGAATCTGACATTTATCCACCTCTTTTCCAAGCAAACTAAACAACCAGATGTACTCTTGTGAGTTCTTCCCACGGGAAGATTTTCTTTCACCATTGTTCTGCATCATGCCTGACCAAGAACATCATACTACAGTCATCTACTTTTAGGTGTTCCTAGCTATGATGGTGAACTTCATCTGTCACCTTTACTGGGCCATGGAATTCCCAGAGACCTGGGTATGCTACATTATTTCTGGATGTGTCTAGATGTGTCTGTGTTCCCGGAAGAGAGCAGCACTTGAACTTGTGAATGAGTAAATTGGATTGGGCTGGGTAAGCATCATCTAATGCACTGAGGATTTGAATAGAACAAAAAGGTGGAGGAAGGTTGAATTTTCTGTCTTTACCTGGCTGCTTGAGCTGAGACAAAGGTCTTCTTCTGCCATTGAACTGGAACTTACACCGTTGATGCTTCCATTCCTCAAGTCTTTAAACTGAAATTTGAATTTATATCCCCAGTTTTCCTGGTTCTCCAGCCTGCATAAGGCAGATGGTGGGACTTTTCAGCCTCCATATGTGTGTAAGCCAATTCTTTATAATAAATCTCACTCTAGATTTATATATCCTATCGGTTCTGTTTCTCTGGATAACTCTAATACACCAGCATAAGATGTAAAACCATTGATAAACCAGATATACATTTATTTTTCCTGAGACAACTTGTCATGGGAAATTTCAAAAGCCTTAAGTGTGGGTTTGTAGAGAGGAATTAATGCTTTAAATGTGGACATGTGTATAATTCCTTGAATATGACCATGCTTTTGGGGGCAACAAAAGCATGCACAGGCAAAAATAGACAAATAGGATTGCATCAAACTAAAAAGGTTCTGCACAGCAAATGACAATTAACTATTAGAAGAAATCATCTACAGATTGGGGGAAAATATTTCAAATCCTGTATCTGATAAGAGGCTAATATCCACACTGTATAATTAACTCAAACAACTCAATGGCATGAAAACAAACAATCCTACTAAAAGGCAAATCACCTAGAGAGATTTATCAAAAGAAGACATACAAATGGCTCTCAAGTATATGAAAAAATGCTCATCACCACTAATAATCAGGGAAATATTAAAACAACAATAAATTATCACCCCACTCCTGTTAGAACGGCTATCATCAAAAAGATAAAAGGTAACAAGTGTTAGCAAGGATGTGGAGAAAAAGGAACCTTGTATAAAGTTGGTGGGAATATAAATTAGTATATCAATTTTGGAAAACTTTGTAGTTTCCTCAAAAAACTAAAAATAGAATTACTATATGATCCAGATATATATTCTGAATATACATCTAAAGGAAAGGAAATCAGTATCTTGAAGAAATATCTGGCTCCCATGTTCATTGCAACATTGTTTACAATTGCCAAGATATGGAAACAACTTATGTCAATCAGTGGATGAATGGATAAAGAAAATGCGGCAGATATACACAATAGAAGGCCTTTATAAAGAAAGAAATTTGTCCCTTACAACAACATAGATGAATTTACAAGACATTATGTGAAGTGAAATAAGCCAGGCACAGAAATACAAACACTGCATGGTCTCACCTGTATATGCAATCTAAAACTGTCAAACTCATAAAAATAGAGAGCGGAATGATTGTTACCAAACACTGGTGGCAGAATGAATAGGGAAAAATATGATGTTACTCAAAGGGTACAAAGTTTCAGTTAAACAGAAGAATAAGTTATAATGATCTATAGTAGAACATAGTGACTATAGTTAATTTACTGTATATTTTGAAATTGTGAAAAGAGTAGATTGTACATGTTCTCGCCACAAATACATAAGTATGTGAGGTAAAGGATATATTAATTAGCTTGATTTAATCATTCCACAATGTATACATGTATCATAATATCACATTGTACCCCATAAATATATACAATTATTATTTGTTAATGAAAACTAAAATTAAATTTAAAAATAAAATAAAAGTAGATTTATTGGGGTCTGAGCCTCTTTCTCATGTAACTTAATTGTGTTTTCAGGACCTGTTCAAGCCCAATATTATATACTTCCTGTACTTCACAATGAATAGTATTGCAAACGCCAAAATGTATGGCTTCTGTGGTCAGATGACAGCCAGATCATGACAGGCAGCTCAGATGTGCATGGTATGTTGGCAACCCCAATCAAATTTTCTACTGCTAGTAGGACCTAGTATCAAGCCAGAAATTACTTTTCTGCTGTTGTTTGTATGTCAAACAAATAAAAGTTATCTTAAGAATATGGACTGGCTTACTTCCACATCATAAGAGGGTATGCTGGAGTTTTCCTAAAGGGGACCCTTTCCATATAACACCAACTGCCACAGACCCTTCAAGTACCACTAAATCTCTGGGTTCATATGGCCCAGTGGCAGTTCAACTTGCTCCAGAATTCTAGAGCCTTGTATTGTTCCGGGCCAGGTCAAAACAGTGAGCTTCCGAGTTTCTTGGTACATATGTTGCAGTAGCATACCTAAAACTGTTATATGTTGCCTCTAGACTTCAGAGAGTCCCAAAAGGCACCACGCTATTTTCTTGGTTGTAGATTTCAGATATAGCCTCTTTCCATTTACCTTGGAGCAGATATGTTTTCATGGCTCAGACTGAAGAAAACCTTGAAACTTAAACAAAAGGTCAGACATTGAATTTTTATGGGGCTCTATTTCTCATTTTCAGGCATACAAGTATCTTACCAAGGCTTCTGAGATATTCAATACATCCTGCTTACAGAGTCCAATAAGACTGCTACAATTAATAGAGGGAACTAGCATGATGTCTTCTGGAAGAATACAATTATACAGGTCCCTATACCTTACATTTTGAGAGAGAGCTAGAGGGTTGATATATCCTTCAGGAAAGTGAATGACACCTTTTTTCTTTTTCTGTCTAAGTGAAATCAAATGGGTCTGGTTTGGTCTGTATTAACAGGTGCAGAGTTAAAAGCATTCACTGGATGATTAGTTAACTACAAGGCACAAGGTGCTGTGTTTATATTCTCTAGGAAAAAAAAAAAGACCACATCAGGACAGCAGATGATTGGCATGTCCAGCTGAATAAGTTTATGATAATGTACTGATATTCCTAAAATCCATCCTAGCCTCCTTCTGCTTAGTCTAGGTTAGTTGTTATCTTTTAGTCTGTGATAACATTCTGCTTTAGGTACCTTCCTTGTAACTTACTCCACCTTACTCTTTATCTTGACAGACTATAAATTCCTTGATACAAGAGCATATGTCTTACCTATATTTTTCCATGTTACTGAAACATAGTAAGCACTTAAAATCTTTCATGAATTTCAATTCGACCAAAAACCTGTCACACCTGTTTTACTAATAAAAATGTTTGTTTTAAAATGTTTCCTTTGGTTCCTTGATAGAAAATGGTTAAATAAAATATTTTCTAATATATCTCCAATATATGTCAGAATCTTTATTATGGCATTTAATATTTCTATAATTTCATAGTATGGGTATATATGATATTCAAACAAAATAATGACTCCTCAATTATGCTTGTTTGGGTTTTCCAAATAACGGATTAAATATTGGAAATCATAAAGTTTTAAGATATAGTTCTATTAGACAGATTCCAAAAAGAAACACAATTGAGGAAGGATATTTTTAGATGTCTTTAGAAATGTCTTATGTTTCTGAGAATCAAGTGGTGCACTATTATTCCTGTAATTTTAAATCCATTTTGGATATTTGTAGCAATAATGACCTTTACAAAGGATCTAATTTATATCCTGGTAGTATTTTTTTGTTAGTAGGCTCTAGTCCACTAATTTTTATGACTTCAACAACATATACAATCTCTTAAATCACTAGCATAAAAAAACTGAATCTCAACATGTTCAAACTTTGATAGTCACCAAAAATATACACAGGATTTTTATGACATTTATATATATATATATATACCAATGATAGTTATTATGCTTCTTCTCTAAAAAATGTCTTACTTAGAAAATGATAGATATGGTCTTGGTTAATAGAAATTTGCCTTGCAAGCATTAATACAAAATCGACTTCTAATAGCAAGAAGATTGTAACTTAATAAGAATATTGACATATGCATGCTTTGTTAATTTATTTGAATTACATAGATATGAACATGAGAGATTTTAAGCATACATTCTTATATCATGTTCTTAAAATAGATTCTATTAAAATTATGATCTATTATCTATCTATAGTTTAATCTCTTTACTATACAAAATATAAGCTTTCTTGAAAGCATAATAAGTGAGATTTCGTTAAATTGACAACAGTAGTAGGCAGTTCTCAGTGAGCCTAAGGCAGAACCTTCCTTGTCAGGTGAAACGGTGCTGCTAAACATGGAGTGACCTTCATAGAAGTCATAAATATAGTAGCAGCTTTCTAAAGTATAGCATGTAATTTAATCCTTTATTAAGTATTGTTAACAACTTTCATACCCTGTATTTATTTAAAGCAACACTTACAATCTCAGGCAATATTATTATTAACCAATATGCCTTTAATATTAAAGTAAGAGATACTTGTATATACAAACTTCAAATTCTATGCATAACATTTCAAAAACCTTGCAACATTTTAAAAATATAATAGATTCATCAAGCTGTCCAAATTCATATAGTGACAAATAACTGAGATTATGACCCAAACTTTTTATTTTTTTATTGGTTATATTGTTTTATTGGTACACTCTACAACTGTTTTGAAATAGAATTTGAATACGAATTTGAAATTGATTTTTTTCTAGAAAATTAATGATATGATGGCATCATATGAATAACAGTTTGTGGTTTTCTAAAGTAAATGTCTCGCACATACTGATTTTACCTCATGGTTTTGGAAAGCCCATTTCTCACTGTGTGGTATACAGGTTACTGCATGATCTAATGGTCCAGCACAATTTTGAAATTTAGATTTTGACAAATCTTAGTTTAAAGCCTGGCTTTATTTAATAGTTGTGCGACTCTGGGTAGCATATTCAATTTCTATTGGCTTCATATTTTCATTATTGAATAAGGATGATTGTAACGCTACCCAGAATTGGATTCAGTGAGATTATACATGTAAAGCACTTAGCACAATATTTGGCACATAATAAATGCTAAAGAATTTGGCTGTTATTATAATTTTAGTATGCATTATTTTAGGAATATTCACATACTTATAAAAGTTCTAACAATTATTAACATCAAAGCAAATAATAAAATCCACGAGAATGTTTTATCTTTCAAGCATATTATGATAACTATATCTACCCTTCAAGTGTGTTATATTAAAATGTGATCAAATGAACAGCAGGAGAAATTGAAGGGAACACAGATGAATCACATGTAATCTGGGGATGGAAGAGGCCCAATGTAGGAAATTGGGTATTACATAAATGGGAAGCATGCACCCCTGGAACCCCATGACTGGGTGATGACTGAGAAACACACAGGCTAATCCTCTCATTAGCCCCAGTGGAGATGAACCACTCCTTCCCCATGAGAAGTCTGTCTGTGTCACATGACTTCTAGAATCCTCTAGTCAGTTGAACGTTTCAGCACCTGCATCAAATGAACAATTTGTGCCATGTAAGATTGGCTACTTCTCCTTGAATGGGATCCATGAGAGATTGTTTCATGTGCCAGCCTCTCTATAGAGGGAATGCCCATTGTGCTTGCAAATTTAAGTCATGACTCTGGCTGTTGTGTTCCTTTGTTACCATGTAATGTTTATTTAAAGGATATAGCTTCAATAAGACAATCCACATCTCTATCATTTAATTAAAGGCAGTTAACATTATCCTCAGTTTATAAAGTAGATATGTGAGGCTTAGAACGGTTAAGAATATTTTAGAAAAAATAAGGGATGGATCTAGATATAGAGGCTGGTACGAAAATGCCTTTCATGTCATCTATTTTAAATAGGATTGCTTTGAGAGACCCCAGCTAAACTGAGCTTTTAGTACGAAATGGCTAGCAATTCTGCTATGAATAATTGCTGGGTGTGGGTGTTTACAGAGTGTCTTTCACAGGATGCTTCCTTTACCTGGTGGATGGCCTAATGCCTAGCTGCCCAACCAGTGACCAGGCGGTCCTTCACATGAGAAACTTGCTTATACCAGAAGACCCCTTGTGGCTCATATCTGACCACAGCTCTGGTGCTGGAAGCCCAATCTTGTGTCACCCCTAGCACAGCAGGGAAAACAGAGGCTAGGGTAGCCCCTGGTTCCGCAGATGGAAAGCACAAATTCAAGACACCACCATGTCAGGAATCAGGTTCAAAGATTTATTATTTACAGGTCCTTGGCATGGAGAATGCAGTGAGTTGGGTGGGCAGTCCTCCAACCTTGGATCACATGAGGAAGGAAAGAGGAGTTAGGTAGAGAGAGGGAGAGGGAGGGGGACAGGGATAGGCAGAGAGAGAAAACTTGCAGTATGTATCAGAATAGTGAACGGGTCACTTTAAGTTTGTGGGCAAGTCTGAATGGTTCCTTCAGGGAGCCCAGTCGGCTAGGCAGGAAAGATGCCTCTTAGTTATCTCTAGCCTCTGGCCTGAGCCATTTGGGTGTGGTGCTCTATGTCTAATGCTTAGGCCGCAACCTTTGCTGTGTTGTTCCTGTTAGAAAGGTGAACAGGGACTACTTTAATCCTAGAATATTTTTAATAACATATGCATAAATTATGCAAATATATCTTATTTTTAACATTTTTTCAGATCGATTTTATTTAAGAAACAAGTCGACAGAAAGAAGTAAAAGCAGCTTATGAATATGTCAAAAAAAAAACAACCACCAAACCTAACTCAGCACATTTACATTATATAAGTCAATAAAAATTCAATTAAACATTTCACACTAAATAAAAAGTAGCGTGTTCTATTTCCCCTTCAATATATGGAAGATGACTTTTAAATTACATTGTTTTACATCCTCTAATCACAAGTACTACCATGTGACTATTCACTAGGTGCTTAGATAACTATGGTAATATTTTCAAGAGGCTTGATGTGAAATACTAGTGACCCACGGCTCAGATGTACAGAGTCAACCTGAAGCACATCGTCTGCAACTATCCTAATATAGTTTAAAAAATTGTGTCTAAGAGTGAAAAGAGAAAGACTGAAACTAATCTGTCAGATATATGAGATCACCATCAAACAATTCTTTCTTTCTCTTTCTTTCTTTCTCCTTCCTTCCTTCCTTCCTTTACTTCCTTCCTTCCTTCTCTCTCTCTCTCCCTCCCTCCCTCCCTCCCTCTCTCTCTCTCTCTCTCTCTCTTTCTTCTTTTATTTGAGACAGTCTCATCCTGTTGCCCAGGGTGGAGTGCAATGGCGTGATCTTAGCTCACTGCAATCTTCACCTCGCATGTACAAGCGATTCTCCTGCCTCAGCCTCCCAAGTAGCTGGGACTACAGGCACCCGCCACCATACCCAGCTAATTTTTTTTAGTAGAGACGGGGGTCTCGCCATGTTGGCCGGGCTGGTCTCGAACTCCTGACCTTGTGATCTTCCCGCCTTGGCCTCCCAAAGTGCTGGGATTACAGGTGTGAGCCAACGCACCTGGCCCAAACAATTAAGTTCCAAAAGAGCAAAGCATCCTAGAGTTCATCTAAGAATGCATGTACTTTAATACATGTATAACAGAAAATAAAGACAATAAAGAAATGCTCCCTTCTAAGGTAATAAAGTACTGAAAATGTAATTTTTGCAGCACTCTAACAAGTGAAAATTTTGAAAATCTGTTCACTGAGCAGGAGCACAAAGAAAAACTAAACATGTATCCCAATTTATTAAAATGACACATCCATAGGCTACATCTATCCTGAATCTCTTTATAAGGCCAGATTAAGTATTTTAAAGTTTCTCTTAATAGATGATTAAAAATACAAAAATATTTAACTTAAAGGAACATAGAATTTAGACTGTGAAACCATGTTGTAAATTTTATTATAATCGTCATTTTTTCTTAATGTTGAAGACTGCATCAGTTTCATAAACAACATCACTCATGTTTTATAATAAATACATCTGTATGCAGAGGTATGTTTAACAGCATCTGCCTCTATCTCCAGAAATTGTTGCTCATTTTAGAGCACATATTTTTATTCTGATAAAGATTTAATGTTTTACTTAATACTTCAGTAGAAAACATGAATAAATTGTATACCCAATATCAATATTTTTCTAAAAACCTGAACAACACTCTTTTAAATGTCCATTTAAAAATATAGATAACAGTTATTGTTTTATCATTATCAAATTGATATCAAAGTAATAGGCATAAGTGAAAAAACTAATCACTAGACAGTCATAAAATATAAAATGCAATAATATTGTGCACTTTGTATTACTAAGAAAGTGTTCACTTATATAAGCAGCAGATGATGAGAACATTATCATGAAAATTCTGGATATATCTTTATGTATATCCTTAAAAATCACTTACCTTTATATAATTTCTATTTTAATTTAAATCTCACATATTTTCAGCTAACATTTAAATTCGTTTTTTATTGTAAAACTTCAGCTGTTATAAATCATGAAACACTTTCAGAAACTTGTTTAAAGGTAGGAATAATTCCTTCTAGTAAAGAATTATGTCACATTACATATTTGTTAAATGTTATGTTTGAGAAATACATTCTGACCTTGAACATATTCAAATTAAAGATCAATATTATAATGGAATGAAGATTTTACAGGGAAAATAGTGCAATCAGTAAAAGCACGAAAGACCATGTAGTAGTGTGTACAGAGTTGTTTCCTTCCGGTGGGTTCTTGGTCTTGCTGACTTCAGGAATGAAGCCACGGACCTTTGTGGTGAGTGTTTACAGCTCTTAAAGGTGGCAGGGACCCAAAGAGTGAGCAGCAGCAAGATTTATTGTGAAGAGCGAAAGAACAAAGCTTCTACAGCGTGGAAGGGGACTCGAGCGGGTTGCCACTGCTGGCTGGGGTGGCCAGCTTTTATTCCCTTATTTGTCCCCGCCCACATCCTGCTGATTGGTCCATTTTACAGAGTGCGGATTGGTGCATTTACAATCCTTTAACTAGACACAGAGCACTGATTGCTGCATTTTTACAGAGTACTGATTGGTGCGTTTACAATCCTTTAGCTAGACACGGAGTGGTGATTGGTGCATTTACAATCCTTTAGCTAGACACAGAGTGCTGATTGGTGCGTTTTCACACAGTGCTGATTGGTGTGTTTACAATCCTTTAGCTAGACAGAAAAGTTCTCCCAGTCCCCACTTGACCCAGGAAGTCTAGCTGGCTTCACCTCTCAGTAGGAAGGAAGACACTTGTTTGGAATATTGCAGAATGGTAGATATCACATTTTATCAAAGGACAGTAATCCTTGATCTTCTATTTCCCACAGAACTCTGGATCCAGTTAAGAGCAGGAGGGGGAAAGAAGCAGCAATATTTCAAATGTCCATACTCTAACCTGCAAAAGACACTGAGTAGGTGGAGAAAACTGCATTTTACTTCAGGTAGTCTTTGAAATGAAAGCTCTGTTATTTTTCAAAATTGGAAGGATACCACAGGGTTGATTTTATATACAAAGTAGGATCTGATCCAGTAAGCTCTAGTGAAATAATTCACATATGGAGAAAGTTAATTTTGACTTCATGACAAAATCACCCATATTTTGAGTAGGTTAGCCTGTCACCTTCTTTGCAAACCACCAACAATATTGGGTATATGGTTCTTAATTGAAACCACTTGAAAAGTGTCATACAAAGTTAAGGAAAACATACACCAAATGCTGCTAACATGAACACATAAGGAATCCAGATGTACTTCAAGCCTTCTATAACCATCACAAGAGAATCCAATAAAATAGTGTGAGTTACATGATAAATTATTTCTGGCCTTTCTCCAATTCATCCGTCATGAAGAATAACAGTTTCTGTCAGGAATTTAGTATTAATCCTCCTAAAAATAACTTGCAGTATAGAAAGAAAACAAATAATTAACACTGGAATATAGAAATGTAATAAAGAAGATTGTCAATTGCAAAAAAAAAACAAAACAAAAAAAAAAAAAACGTCTTGAGAAGGTGCCTGCAGGGAATCTTGACAGAGGAGCTAAATAACTGTAAAATTCTTAGTCATATTTAGTCCAAATTTTACTTCAAGGAATTTGAGCATGCGCCCATTTTCTTTGTGCTGGACAAACATCTTCATTATAATATTCAATGTCACTGTCAGAGTACGCACCAAGTAAAAATTAATCACTTTCATTGTTTTAGCTACAAAAGTTTCTTTCTTCGCATTCAGCTGAAGGCACTTAGCAATCATTAAGGCTGCTAGTAAACTTAACAAAGGAAACACCAGTACAGCTGGATTCCCAAACTGCAGTAAATATCCCAGAAAGAGAGAAAATATGTAGATTTTGTAAACTTCATAAACCTTGTCACTTTGCTCCAGCGGCAAGATATCGAGCAGGAATAGAGAGACTGCTTGAAGAAACAGGAGATAGCGGCCGTACCCCACATCATCATAAATATGTAAGTTGAAGCACTTATCAACAAGTAGCAAAACTCCTCTCCATAAGTATTTCAGTTGCTTTTTAAATAGCCTGTAGGGGCAGCAACTTGGCATGCAAAATATGGTAGTGCCCAGTTTTCTCTTAAAGGAATGGGGTATTCTATTCTTGTTGTATCTACCCTGTTAAAAATGAGGCATGCAACAGTAAGCATTCCTGTTAGCCATGTTCCACTCATAAGCCAACTTGTAACAAATAATGCGGTAACATATTCTTTGGAATCCAAAAACAGCGCCAATATAGAAATACACTGGCTCAATAATCTCGTTGCTACCAGTGGCTTGACATAAAACACTGGCAATAAGTTCTGGATATACAGATATTTGCTGCACTGCATGTATAGTCTTTGGAGATACAGTTTTGTTATTGTGTGCCAGTTCATAAACACCTCTTTCAAATGAAGGTGCCTTTAACATATCTTTATGATAGGTCTAATAAATGGCACTGTCACCCTGAAACGTGATTCCCCGTTCAAGCTCGTTTTGGAGCTCTTTCAGGAATTGGAATGTCATTGATTGTTCTCTTCTTTAGCGGATTCCTTATTTTCTGAAGACTTTGGCCTTTTTTCTTTGGCGCAGCTCTGCAGTTGATCTTTCTTCCTCTGCCCTGGTCTCCGCGGAGGCCAGGACATACCTCCAGCTGCATCGAGGCAGGAGTCTCCCTCCCTCTGAATCTCCGAACCCCTCAGCCTCTCCGGGTCCGCTCCCGGCCGCCGCCGCAAACATACCTTTTAATCATTGTTTTCCTAGTAATAAAAATCTTACACAAAAGCTAAACGAAATTTTATGCAATTCCCTGGTTAATGTTTCTTGATGACATAAGTTGCTCCGTATATACTTACCTGAGTGCAGCTAACCTTGTTACACTGGAACTCGATCTTGACACACAGCCAAAATACATTCTCTTATGATCTTCTTGTGGAAAATGGTAGTTTCCTGCTTTGATGTTTTTTTTTTTTTTTACCAGACCGGGGTGAGGCTTTATACCCTGAACTGTTCTTGTAAAGTTTTTCAGCTGATAATCACGGGCCTTAATTCTGGTGATTGTCCTGTGCTAATTTGATAATGAAACAGAGAGCTCAAGGTAGCTTCTCCCAAAGGGCTTCAGAGAAAAGAGATTTTCCCAATATATTAATGTCTTAAACACACGTACACACACACGCACAGTTTCTAGTTAAATAACTTTGAGAAACATTAGGTTAAAAACACCTTAAGAAATTTTGCCTAACCCAGGATAATGAGGTTAATTTCTACATAATCTTCTAGATTATCTATTATTTCAATTTCCACAGTTAGATATATCGACATGAAATTGACATGAAATTTTGTGTAGGTTTGACATATGGTACAAGTTCTATTTTTCCCCCAAACCTTCATCTACAGTTACTCTGGGCTATGTTTATGTATAAATCAAGTGTTTATATATATTAGGCTCTGTCTGGAGGCTCTTTATTATGTACTTGTACTATTCCCACATTGTCTTAGTGTAGCTTCATTATGAATAGAGCAAGGCTTCCCACCTAAAAGACTGCTTGGCTATTGTTAGCCACTTGCATTTCCACTTAAAATATAGAATACACTTACAAATTTTTAAAATACCAAAATACATAGAAATACATTGTTGGGACAATTTTGATTGAATTTGTATTTAATTTAAGAAGAAGTTTAAGGAGAATTTCCATCTTTAAATTACTGTCTTCAAATCTATGATTGTAACCTATTTTGTCCATTTACTTAGTCCTTTAAATTATCTCAATTTGTTTCATAATTTTTTATGAAGACATATATAAATTTAGCACCACTTCTAGATATTTGCTATAACTGTGATTATTATAAACTTTTACAGCTTTTATTTATTAACGTGATGGTATGTAGAAATTCAATTCGTTGTTTTACATTGTCCTTGTGTAGCAACTTTGTGAAAATTAATAATGATTTTTATTTTATTATTCTTTTAATATTTTTTATACACAGCTTTACAAGTTGTTTCTATTGGATTTACTTTATCTGGGGCCCATTTCTTTCTTTTTTGGCTAATATTTAATCTTGCTTGTATATGTAATCATTCCAATAAAAAATTGGATGGGAAATATCACATTATATATCTATCTCATACATAATACATGAGATATATCCCCCGTAATAAATAATATCTTGTTATGGACTGAATGTATGTGTCCCCTACAAATTTAAATGTTGAAATATCATCCCCAATGGGATGGTATTTGAAGGTGGGGCTTTTGGGGGCAGATTAGTCACAAACAGGATTGGTGTCCTTAAACGAAGAGGCCAGAGAGCTAGCTTGCTCTCATTCTGCCATATGAGGATACAAGAAAAAGTTGACAGTTTGCAAACTGGAAGTGGGATCTCACCAAAACCTGACCATACTGGAACCCTGATCTCAGACTTCCAAGCCTCTAAAACTGTTAGAAATTCCTGCTGTTTGTAAGCCACCTGGTGTGTAATACATTGTTATAATAGCCCAAATTGACAAATACAGAAATCACATATTATATAAGAAATAAAATTTCCACAAGCAGTGAATATCTGAAAACATAATTTTTAGTTCTTCATCTTTTTCATATTCTGGCTCAATTAAAGACTACATGGAATTCACCTCAAAATCCTGAAATGGCAACACATCAAAAGTTTTCCTCTTACTGAGCTCTGGAGAAGTACTGAATCAAGTTTTACAAGGAAACTGGAGACTTAAGGAATCCAAGAGGCGTAGTCTTCCGCTTCTCATTTGTGACATACTAAGCTAAAGAAAGTAGAGGAGACTAGAGTGCTTTCAATTTAAGGCCCATCAGCACAAAAAGAAACCCAAGTATATCACATGAAAACTCATCCACAGAGAATGGAGAAATCTAGGCTTGCGGCTCTGGATTTAGAAACCGGGCTTACAAAACCATGAGAGAAGTCAGGGTCCGGCAGAGCATTGTGTTGAGCCAGAAAAATTTTCCAAACACGGAAACCCTTGACACAGTGTTCGATTTTGAGAAAAATAGCACAATGTGTGAGACCCCACTCAAAGAAATACAAGTTTCTCCAAAAACAAAATAGGGCATCATTGTAGTGTATTGAAGACATTCCTTTGATGAACTGTAAACTATTGCCCCAAATGGGGTCAATATAAGAGCTCTTTAGAAGCATAGTGTTTTTGTTTGTTTGTTTTCTTTCTTTTTTGTTTGTTTTTTAGTGCATTACTTTTAAATCAATTATTCTAAGACTTATGTCATATCAGGTTAAATTATATATACAATAGTACATTTTTGAATATTAATCACATGATAGATTTCTGCTTAAGTTTCATTTCATGCAAAAGGTTATCCTTTTTTGTCTAACCTTCTATTTGTTGTTGAACCAAACTTTCATCATCATTTTATAAATCAGTGTATCTCACACTCCTGCTAGTATCTATCCTCTCTGTCTCTATAAGATGAACTTTGCATATTTAAATTTATTATAGCCAGCCATACTTGTATTTTATTTGTTCGGTTACACTCTCTTAAATTCTTATGTTAATAACTACAATTTAAATCTAAACCAAAATAATAAGAAATGTAAATGTAATCAAACAGTTATAAAAATAATATTTATGATAAAGTAGAAAGAACTGAAAATTACTGCATGAATATTGAGTACAACTATAAAAATAAGTTCTGTAGCTTAAAATTATATGTGCCATATTTTAATGACATAATCTCCCTTTGTTAAATCTTTTTTACTGATGTAACTTTTATAATAACCCTCCATTGAACATCTATGTAACTATATATATATGAATAAAATTTTAACATCTAGTATAAATTGCTAAAATAAAATTGCAAGTTTCACATTTACAGTTTCAATTATTTTGATAAACAGCTTTCAAGTTCTTATTCATAACAATTCATAATTAGGAATAATATACACTTTATACTTACATAGAAATATGGCAGACTAAGCAAATGTGTTAGTCTAGATTTTATCTTCAAGGCACTATAGAAATAATAAATGATTAAAATGGGGATAAACCCATAACTGTAAAATAAGTGGGTGGAGGGCACACATATTAGGGGAATTCTATAAATTTTATAAAAGTAAAAGATGAAATCATATGATAAAATTAAAAGAGAACATATTTCTCAAATTCTAATACAGCAGATGACAGATGCAAAAATAAGGTAGCCTGAACTGGATAGCTTAAACTCAGAAAATTTTTCTCCTTGGAATGAGCAGATATAATAATAGGACTGAAAATGTGACAAAATACAAAGAGACATCATTTTCCATGACCATAAAGAGAGAGTTATGAGGGTGGGGGACAGGAACTTGATTGAATTGTAAGTCCATCTCAAAACAATTATAAAGAACATTTCAGATAAGAATTAGCCTTGCTTGAATGTGTGTTATTATTCCAAAGTAAAGTGCTTCTAATTCTGAAACTGTGGGGCCTTCCATTTTAAAGACAGTTTATACCTTTTGAGTATGAAAGAGAGTTTGCCAATTAACAAGCTCTGCTTCTGTACTACCCTATTGAATGTCCTTATTCAAGAAAAAAATATTAATGGAAAATTTTAGCCTTAATACCCAACAACTTAAGAGATATGTGACAAACAACTCAAGTAATCTAATCCTTTATTTCTTAATTTGAATGGAAAACCACAGATTGCTAGACATAAAGCAAAATAGCAGTATGAAAGGAGAAAAAAGGTCAATTACAAAAAAAATGTGGCCCCAAGAAAAAAGAGAGATCATTCACAGACAGAAGACAATCTTAAAACACAAAATGTCTTCAGAAGCCTTCTAGATGATGCCTCTTATAAAACAAGAGTCACGAACAGGACTGAATAAAAAAAATAGCTCTCAGAAAAAATAGAACTTTAGAAATTAAAACTATGTTAACAAATTAAAAATGAAAATCTACAGGAAGATTAAAAGAAAGTTTGAGGTCTTCTTCTGGAACATACACCTGAAAACATAAAAAAGAGAAAACCTACAAAAGAAAATGAATTGGTGAAGAGTAGGTCCAGATTGCTCAATATCTAATCAAAAGGAATTTCAAAAGGGAAACATTAAGAAAAAAAAAAGAGATACTATCAAATAAATAATCTGAAACAACCTTCCAGGGATGAAGATTGGTGCCTAGCTGTAGATATAACAGGACCCACTGATTGCTGAGCTCAATATACAAATAATAATTCAAAGGCATATCACTGACATCATTGGGGAATTTCAAGTACACCATGTATAAAAAGAACATTTCAAAAGCATCCAGAGAATACTAAGAAAAAATATTAATCAATAGATGTCATAAATGCAGCAGATTTTTTTAGATCTTCAACTTTGGTACTAAAAAAATGTAACAATTACTTCAAAATTCTGAGGCAGTAATATTTTCAACTTAGAATTATATGTCCAGCCAAGAAATCCATCAATAGAAATAGCAAAATAAAGCAGTTTTGAGAAGCTCAAGAAATCAGAAAATGTACCTCTCACATACCATTTTGGAGAAGGTTACATGACGATCTGTTTACACAAAACAAAATTAACAATCACAAGATGTAGGCGTGGAATTTTTAAAAATGATGGATTTGATACAGACAGGAGGCAGGGAAATACTGGGTAGAAAAGGGCAGGGTCCCTGGCAAGGGCTCCACCCTCAAGCCTGGACCCGGGGCCCAAAGTAAGAACATGCATTCCTGCTTTTTTGCTCGCATTTTGCCTTTTCCAAGACCACCCTGGCCTGCCCTGCCCTGCATCCTGTAACCATAAAAACCCCAGACTCCACTAGCAGGAGAGTGGCAGAGAAGGAGAGAAGAGAAGAAGCAGCTTGATTTCGAAGGGATGGCTTGACTATGAAACCTTGGAGAAGAGTTCAGCTGAAAATGGCCAGACTCCAGGGGAAGACCACCTTCCCGCTCCAACTCCTTTCCAGCTCCCCATCCCCTTGAGAGCCACTTTCATTGGTAATAAAATCCTATACATTTACCACCTTCAATTTGTTCCTGTGACCTGATTCCTCCTGGAAGCCAGACAAGGTCCCAGATGCAGGTGAAGGAGGCTGTCACACTGACCTTCCACTGGGCTAATACTTCAGCCATCCATGGATGGCAAAACTAAAAAAGCAGCATGTAACACACAACCTCCGGGGCTCCGGGGGTTGCTGGCAACTCCTAGACACTCACTTGCTTGCTCCCACTCCCATGAGGGGTTGAGAGCTGTGGGCTGAGTAAACAAGCCAACCCCTTCACAGGACTCACAAAGGGGTAAAGGAACTATTCTGTTTCAGATTTAAGTAAGGAGTCCAAAGTAAATAAATTTTAAAATAATAACTTTCTAGATAGCCTAGTAATAATCAGGACAAATGTGAATAAGAAATTCCTGAGCAGTAAGGAAAATGTCAATAGAAAAATGGAGTAGATTCTATTCAAGAGATAAAGTCTTTCATGTGCTGGAATATTGAAGGAATCTGTTGAAGAGGGCATATGTTTCTTCTTTCAACAATGAAAATAATAGAATTAGAAACACTAAGAAAAACAAAACCAACAAATATCTTCAAGAAACTAATGTATGAATATAAGAAAAATAGAAGTGTGCCATGTTATGAAACTACTGATGATGTGCAATGAAAGAGGATCTGTTTGACATTGCCAATGTGTTCTTCCCTGAGTGTCACAGGAGTTGTGACCCCACATAGGAAAAGCTGTAATGTCAGCCCACTGCTTGACTTTTCAAAGAAAAATATCTACATCATTATAATAAGGCAGACAGTGGTTTTCAGCTATTGGAATCAATTGGAAGAGAACACAGCAGACTGTGGTTTTCAGATATAAGTAAATAGTAAATGAATTTTATTTTTTAATATCTTAAAAATATTTAGAATATTAAATAACAAATAGGTTAAAAAGAAGGGGTGAAGGGTAAGATCTGGATTTTATTGATTCATTTAGATAATAAAGATTCAATATATTCAGAAGGGAGCAAGAAATCAAAATTTTATTATATCATTGAGAATTTTAAATAGGTACTTTAAATGTGTAAACAAATATAAACATCAAACTGAAGAGAAAAGAAAATGGAGATGAAAGACTAGTGAGAGTGGATGTAAGTATTAAATAATGCCAAGTAAAAGGAGTGGGATGGCGAGGAACAGGAAAGCACAATATTTTATGTATCAGTGAATAAATTAATATTGATATCAATATGAAAACAATTGTTGGAGATGCAGTAAGAGAAATACAATGAGACCTTATAGGCATTAAATGTCTTTTAATTTTAGACTCATGTTATTATCTGACAAGGGAGAGTCTTCGATTTCCTCAATAGCATGATTCCTACAAAAAAAGAACAAATTGGAATTCAATACTTGTATTAACCCTGCTTTTTTAAAAATAACTGTTAAGCAGGTAATGAGTTTCCTCTTCAGAAAATGCAAGCACATTGTACAGAGAACAATCTTAATGAATGTAAAATGGAAGGACATCAGTCAAGAGGGAAGAACAGAGAAAATATCTTTAGGTATAAACAGTGAGCAGAATTCAGGAATTCTGTGGATTAGTAAAGTACTTGAAAAAATATTGTCCACTGAGACTATAAAAATGACAGAGTATAGAGGAAGACTAAGGCAGATTTTATTATTAGCAACCACAACAAATTTACCATTTGGATTTAAGCAGTTACTCAAGGTCAGAGGCAATGTTCCTACCCGTTGGCTCAACCTGTCCTCAATCATTTTGAATATCTTGTATGATGCAGAAAGGACAATTGTAAAGGTTTGTACCCTCAATTAAATATTAAGATGGAATATTTCAACCAAACAGAAAGAATTCTTACAATAAAAGGTTGATCAACTTCTGTATAAGACGTGATCCTCACTTATTTTAATTAGTGATTAATTTACTTTCAATAAGATTGATTATTTGATAATAAATACATATTTTAAAACTTGAGTGGCTATGATAACATTGCTGAAAGAAATGTAGATTGTTCAATTTCCTTGTCTTTATATGCCTGATATTACAATCTTAATATAGCCATAATGTACTTTTATACCATTACAAGTAAGTAAAAATGATTTTAATAACTAAATTGTCTCAATCAAATATTAAGTATCTAAATAATGGCCTCTGCTAGATTATCCCATTCATGTTGATGTGTTTAACTGCAGATATTGAAAGTATTTTCTGCTCTATTTTTGTGTGTAACACTGGAAAGATGAGAATCTCTTATTTTTCTTACATGACTTGTAAAAAAGCATTACATTACAAACATATAAGATATATTAAATTTTAGTATAAATATTGAGTTCCATAGAATTACAAAATTTCAAAAATGCATCTTAACAGAGCACAAGCCTCAGTCTTTTGTTTCCCCAGAAAATGAGTAAACAAACTTAAGTAACTACTTTACTTTTATCATTGGAAAAAAGAACATTTGAGCATCTCATTGGGGTGTGCTGTGTAGATATCCTATACCTTTTATCCCAGACGGGAAGAAAATGTTTGCAGATCTTACATCTAATAGAGAAATTGAATCCAGAATACACATTCTCAAAACTCAATAGTAACAGAACAATCCAATTAAAAATGAGCAAAAATGTTATTTGGCAATTAACCATGGAAGTTTTACAGACAACTAAGCACATGAAAGAATACTCGACATCATTAGTCATTAATAGAAATCAGTGGTGCCAGGACACACCTATTAGAATGATCAACGTTAAAAATACAAGCATTGGGAACAACATGTATACATGGAATTATCTTGCATTGCAATATCTACAAATAGTTTGGAAAACAATTCGACAGTTCCTTGAAAATTTAAATACACACCACCAGGTAAAATAATCATTGCATTACTACATATTCACCCCAAAGAAGGAAAGCATATGTCCATGCAAAGCCTAGCACAAAAACTACTCAGAGCACCTTTATTTGCAATAGCCAACAATTGGAAAGCACCCAAACACCCATGAACATATGAATGGATAAGTAAACTGTAGTGTATCCATATAATGAAATATTACTCAGCAATAAAAACATAATGAATTATTGATATACACTGCAATATAAGCTAATCTAAAAAAATTACACTCAGTGAGAAAAGCCAGATGGAAAGAAGACATATTGTATAAATCATAAAATAAAATTTTTGGAAATGTAAACTAACACTTTGGAAATGGTAGTGTAAGAAAACAGATAATTGTTTGCTTGGTGAAGGAGGGTTGAGGGATGTGTTGTGCAGAGACAAGGGATGCCTTTTTTTGATGATTACATTCATTATCTTGATTGTAATGATGAATTTAGCCAAAACTTATTAAATTCTACACTTAAAATACACAGTTCATTACGTTACTATCATACCTTAAAAAGACTGTTAATTATGAATGTAATTATGAATAGCGATCTTTTTTTTTTTTTTTTTTTTTTTTGAGATGGAGTCTCGCTCTGTCACCAGGCTGGAGTGAAGTGGTGTGATCTCGGCTCACAGCAACCTCTGCCTCCCAGGTTCAAGCGATTCTCCTGCCTCAGCCTCCCGGGTAGCTGGGACTACAGGCATGCGCCACTACGCCCAGCTAATTTTTTTGTATTTTTAGTAGAGATGGGTTTTCACCATGTTGGCCAGGATGGTCTCGATCTCTTGACCGCGTGATCTGCCTGCCTCGGCCACCAGAAGTGCTGGGAGGCGTGAGCCACTGTGGCCGGCCATGAATAGCGATACTTTTTAATTAAATCAAATCTAAGATTAAGTTTGCAAGTCATCCAAAGAAAATAGATATTGGAATACGTGTGTGTGTGTGCACGTGCGTGTGTGTGTGTGTGTGTGTGTGTATGTGTGTGTGTATGAGAGAGAAATGAAGCAGATATAGCATAATATGTGGTAGTAACACAAGTATTCACTGGCTCACATTGTGTCAACTTTGCCATGAATTTGAAATTGTTTATAATACTATATTGGGAAAAATTAAGGAAACAAATATCTAACGGCTATGCAGAAGGACAGCTATCTTACAAGGGAGTGATAATGAAGCTAATGATGTATTCAGCAGCAAAAATACATGCAAGAAGATGATGTCGTGCCTCACAAGTGCTGAGGGAAAATATTTGTCAATCTGGACTGATATAGCCAAATAAAATATTTTTCAATGAATAACACTGGAATAAAATAACAACATTATTATTTAAATGTGTTAAAACATTTTACCACCTAAAAACTTTCTGAGAAAGAACTATTGGGAACAAACACACTTTGCCAAGAAAAAAATTAAACCCAGGAGAATTAGCAAACATATTGTTGAATCTAATTAATTATAGGCCATTAAAAATAATACTTCTATTTTTATGATTAAAAATTAAGAATTAAACTTTAGCACAAATAATATAGGTGATGTAAGTGACGGAACACAAGGGGCAACAAAACACATTAATTGAAAGTTCTACTCAAGAATAAAAGGGAAAAAGTTAAAAACATCAAACTTTGCTAAAATTAAAAAAAAGTCATATGTTAATTTAATGAGAGAAACTTTAAATTTAAATTGTACTTCTAATGTAAAAAGAAAGAATAAAGGAAGAAAGACATTAATAACAAAAAAATGACACATTGAAAAACTGCTGCAGAAAGAGGGAAAAAGCCAAAATAAAAGTTAATTGAAATATTTGTAATAAGTCGTAATAATTGCTAATAATCTGCTAAAACCCTAAGATATAAATTGCATTAAAAATCTAGCTATATGTCCCATAAAATAAATATGTTTAAAAGACAATAAGACAGGAAGACTCTATAGGGAGATATTAAGAAAAGTAGGCATCAAACAGCATGAGGTGTAAGAATAAATAAGTGCTAAGATAATCAATACATGATGATTAAAGAAATAAACTAGTAGAAGATATTATCATTGAGAATGTATATACACCCCAAAATATGGTCTCCTAACATTAAAAGAAGTGTTGACAGAAACATAGAAAAATGTACTAAGAAATAATAATGGATGATTTTAACATGTCTTTCTCAAAAGTGATAGTCTAAGCAGATAGAACATACATAGCAGATTGGAAAAACACAATTAACAAGCTATACTAACATATATATCTCATGTAGAGAGAGCCAGAGAGAGAACTTTGCACACAACAGTGGACTGTTCTATTTCTAAAAATTGACATTTTTATAGGTCATGACATAAGCCACAACTCATTAAAAATATTAGTTGCCTATAGAACTTACTCTTTTTTTTTTTCACAGTGAAATTGGTTAGAAACCAATAATTAGACTGGTAGGAAAAATGTGTTTGAAATCTAAAAATACAATCCATGGATTAAGTAGAAAATGTTCTGAAGCTTTTAAAATTAGGAAACGCTACTTAAGTGGTACTTTGAAGAAAATGCATTCATTCAAAAAACAAAAGCAACCAACATCACCAGCTTATAAAAGGGCAATTCAAAAAGATAGAATAAAGAACTTAAAGCATAGAACTAAAATCTTTTACAGGAAATAAGTAATAAGGTTAGGAGCAGAGGACTTATATTTTGGGGAGGTAAATTTGATAGATTATTTAAAGAAATAAAAAATTTAAATGCTGCATAAAATATTGAAAATAAATTTTAATTCCTCAAAATCCCTAAAGGATACAAGGGAAATACCAGGTCAAAATCCATGAGAAAGTCAGAACCCTGAGGAATAAGAAGAGCATTGAAGCCACTTTGAAGTTGGACTATGCACAAATGACATTTAGTTTGTTGGATTTATGAGACAAGCAGGGCAGAAATAAAAACTAAAGAAATCCTTTACTGTAATGCTGAATCCAAAGGAAACTCTCTTTAGATAATTACAAAGAAAATTGAATTGTTGCTAAGCTAGAAAAATAACTTTCCTGAGACAATGTATTTATAAGGCACCTCCTGCAAGGATTTGAAACCTAAATTCCCAGTAACTGGGTGACCCAAACAACCTCAACATATATATCAAAGAGCTAACAGAATCACAATCATAGTCAAAAATGTTAACATATTGATATGGTTTGGATCTTTCTCCACCAAATTACATGTCCAATTGTAATCTGCAGTGTTGGAGGTTCGGCCTGGTGGGAGGTAATTGGATTATGGGGGTGGAGTTCTCATAAATGGGTTAGTGCCATCTTCTAGGTGCTGTACTTGTGGTAGTGAGTGACTGAACTGTTGTGATATCTGGTTGTTTAAAACTGTAGCACCTCTCCACTTTCTTAGTTCTGCTCCTGCCAAGTAAGACACTTGTACCATCTTTGCCTTCTGCCATGATTGTAAGTTTCCTGAGGCCTCCCCAGAAGCCAAGCAGATGCCAGCATCATGCTTCCTGTACAACCTATGGAACCATGAAATTAAACCTCTTTTCTGTATAAATTACTCAGTCAAAGGTATTTCTATATAGCAATGAGAGAACTGACTAATACACATACTCACTGAGAAAATTACAGCACAAAAAGACAAAAGTTGGAATAAGATTTAGCTAGTACAGGAAACAAACTTAATTCATTAAATTCCTTCTCTGGAGGATGTCATCAACATCTTATGCTTCAAGAGGCCTGTTGAGTAATTAACAAAGACAAATAGGCAGCCTAAAATAAAATTAAAATAAGATAAAATAATTACCAAGCACAGAAGGTATAGCAAATAGGTACCAGCTGAAACATGTCACAGACAGCATCTACAAAGACATCTGATAGAAATTGTAAGTCAATAGTGCCTGTTATTTTTAAAGAAATGAAAGTCAAACTTGAAAATATCTTTAGGGAACATAAAACTGTAAAAAGCAACCTATGGGATAGAAAAGAACCAAATAGAATATCTAGAAATAGAAAAACACATTAATGAAAATCAAATATTTATTGCAGTATTCTAACAGAAAAGTAGACACAGTTTCAAAGAGAATATGGAAATTAGAAAGTAGTTCGGAGGGAAAAACTTGGAACATAGTACACAGTGACAAAAAGAAAGAAAATATAGACACAAACAAACTTGGAATACAGAGTGTGATCTATTGTTATTTTCTTTCCCTGTAAAGTTGTTAAGAACTCAGCCTCTCCCCACTACTTTTAGTTTGCTCTTCAGCCAGTCTGCTAATGTTTGTAAATAGCAAATTATTTAGAGGTAAATATTGATATCAAATGTAAGGTTCATCTCTCTGGAGTTCTCTTTTATCCAGCATCTTGGCCTTGATACTCCTCTGATGTCTTCAAATAGATTATTTTTATTTTATACTTTCTCCAGCTCTTCCAATTACTCATCGTGAGAGGGTTTGGCCTAAACCCACTGGTCTGCTAGTGCCAGAAGCATAACCTTTCAAGAGACTCCCTTGAGGTAATGGACACAAAAGTTACACATACATACGCATTTCACTTATAATTCCTTGATAAGAATTTAGGCACATGAACCACATAGGTAACATTGAAGCTGGAAAATCTAAACTGTAACTGACAGATATGTTTCCAAAACTTGAAGGGAGGTCTCCATCACTATGTGAAAGAAGGTTGGAGTAAAAATTGAGGAACAATTAGCAGATTTTAATATAGATGTACTATACAATTTTCTTATTCATTTTGTCCATTCTTTTGTACCATGAGAAGGTAAGCTCTGAGAGGAAGTATTTTTCCTTTGGTTATTCTGTTTTTGCTTTTGTCTGGGTTGCGTTGTTAGCTCACCACTGTGTTCCATGGCCCTTGAACACCCTGGTAGAATGTAGGGACTCGGTGAATATTTGTGGCATGTGGAGGGTCTTCCTAAGCATATCACTAAATGCCAAAATCATGCTTCTTCAGTTTTTTGGAGAATGAGCTTCCATCATTTTAATAATATAATAATATCAATATGTTATTAAGATATAGTAAAGTACTTTAATAGTAGTTACACTAACATTATCTTTAAAAGCCAGTGGAATATAAACAAACACTAGGTGACACTTAATAATTTTTTTCCAGACAAACATCTCTAATTTCATTAAACATTTTAAAAAATTGTCAGATCTATTTATTTTATCATTCATTCCCATTGGACATATTCAAGTGTATTAATCTTTCTTCAGTTTGATGCCCAAAATAAAAATACACGTTGAGCATTCCATTGCAAAAATACAAAATCCACACTGCTTCAAATTCTGAAACTTTTAGAAAGCTGACACACCCCCACAAGTGGAAAACTCTATACCTGACCTCATGTGACAAGTCACAGTCAAAACCCAGTCAAAACTCTGTTTTTTTAAAGAAATTATGTAAATATTGTATAAAATTACCTTCAGGCTATGTGTATAAGGTATACATGAAATATAAATGAATTTCATGTTTACACTTGGGTCCCATCCTCAAGATATCTCATTATGTATATGTAAATATTCCAAAATCCAAAAAAAAACCTCAAAATCTGAAAGTCTGAACACTTCTGTTCACTAGCTTTTTGGATAAGGAAGCTCATTTATTTACCATATTATTGATCCATGTTTTCACAGAAATTTTGGAGCACTGAGATGGCAGAAATTTCTTACTGTTGGTGGAAAGATATAATCAATACAAAATTTTACAAATTAATTTTAAGGATGAAAATCTGAGCTAGCCAACGACAGAACTAAAATCAATCCTGTATCTTCTGACATGAATTGAGATAGTACAGAGGACAAGCAAATTTGGGAATTTATTTCTCGATATTACTTTTTTTGGTAGTTATGCCAAATCTTTTCATGTTTACCTAAGAAGTAATCTTTATGATCCATATTTATACCACAACTAGAACTTTCATTCTGCAGTACACAAAAGGCAGCTTAAAACCTCTTTGACTTCAGCAGTTTTCACAATTTAATTATTTTATTATTATTATTATTATTATAGTAGAGACAGGGTCTTGCCATGTTGCTAGGCAAGTGTCAAACTCCTGGGCTCAAGTGACCCTCCCACTTCAGCCTCCCAAAGTGCCAGGGTTATAGGCATGAGCCATCACATCTGGGCTCACAGTTTTAGAAATTACCACTATAAATATTACTTTCTCTTAAAATTAAATTTAAAAATGAATTATTGTTCAATCAATACAATTGCGATAAAATTTGTTTGACTACAACTCACACAGGCACTATCCATATCAAATACCCTTTATAAGTATCTGTTTTATTTTTGGTTCCTTGCTTCTTTATTATGATAATTATGGACCTAAAATATAAAATACGATCATTTCATTATATTGTTGTTATTATTATTTTGCCCTAAGTTTTGTAGGTAGTAGTTGGGTTGACCACGGCTACTGTGGATATTGGGAATTACAAAATGCGGCAGATTGAATATGGATTTCCCAAAGATGCCCACGTCCTAACCCTGGGACCTGTGAATATGTTATATATCAAAAGGGAATTAAGGATGCAGGTAGAATCAAGTTATCTAATCAGCTAACCTTACAATAGCGAGATTATACAGGTGAGACCAGTGTAATCACAAGCACTCTTAATGGCAGAAGAGGAAGGCAGAGAAGGACCTAATGACGTACCTTGAGAGGGACTCCACCCATATTCTCTGTCTTTGAAGATGAAGAAATGGAACCATGAGTCAAGAAACACGATATATATCAAAAAAAATTTACAAATTATTTTTAAAAGCTGGGAATGGTCCTCAGGTGACAGCCAGCAAGAAAACAGGGTTGTTGGTCCCGTAGGTGCAAGGAACTAAATTCTGCTAACAACATGAATGAGCACAGAAGCAGATTCTTCCTTAAAACCTCCAGAAAGGAGCCCTGCTGACACCTGCATTTTTGTCTAGTGAGACGCATACCTGATTTCTAACCACCAGAAATGTGGGATAGTAAATTTGTATTGTTTAAACTGCTAAACTTTTTGTAATTTTTTACAGCAGCAATTGGAATCAATATGCCAGTTTATCAACCTTATTTCAATTGGAAAAAATATGTATTTCAAATAAGTTGTTATGAATATGCTAAAAACATGTGTGTGCACACACATCCTCAAACAGACTCGAAATACTTATGATGACTAAGACCACTTCATCTTCACTTGAACATCCCTCCTGAAAACCTTAGGAGTAAAGGTAATTTAAATTTAGAAGAGAAAATACCAGTGGGACCTTATATTTATTGAAAAATAGTAAACTAATATTACCTCATTTCAACTTAATAGCAAACTTCAAGGGTATGCCTTATTAGCTTAACCTTTATTAGGTCATTTTTGAAGGTCTTGGGAAATCTGCATTGATATAGAATTCATGGCTTCTGCTCTATTGTACTTAAATTAGACCAACATTAGATTTTAAGGTTTCTGATCTTTAAAATAAAGCAATCTGTTATGGTAGGTTTTATACAACATGCTTTAATGTTTTCTGTATCTCTCCTTTCCTAGTTTTTAGCATAAAGGAAGATAATTATAACTACCTGCAGGCTAGAAAGATTATTGTTGACACAAGACCCAAGAATAACTCACTGTGATCATAAAATCACACAGTGCAGATATCATTAGGAAAAAAAGGAACTATATCTACGGTAAAATTATTCTACTATAAACTCAAGTAATATACATCAAAACAAATGCCATTTTTATGCATTTTTGTCCTTACATTGTTCTTTAACAAACTGTAACACTCTTAAGAGTGAAGAACCTCTAAAAACATCTGTGAGGCACATTGGATGATGCCGTGCTCTGAGTAAAACACCATGTAGCACCAAACAGCTACCTTATGATGTTCATAAGGGAGGGCCCATAGAGAATGAAGATATACATTTCTTAACCAATTTTTTTCAGGGACATTTTCTGCACAATATTATAATAAAATGTACTATGCATAATTTTTGGTATAGTATATGTAATTAATTCATGGGATTCATTTTTTTCTTTTTTGATTTTAATATACACAAGAATCTGTTGGTGATGAGAAACAGCCAATTGAGACAGTGGTTTCCTTTGGGAACTCAAGGTCTTCTTAGGAGATCAGGCTTCTATGTGTATTAAAATATAATAAATACAAATGCTTTTTCATATATGTTTTATAGCAAGCTTCAAATGTAAACCTTAGTCAGCTAACTCAGAAGTTGGCAAATGATGGCCCAGGGATGAAAGCCAGGTGATTCCCTGTTGTTGTAAATAAAGTTCTACCTAAACACAACCATGCCCATTCGTTTACATACTGTTTATGGCTCCTTTCTCAGGACAGTGACAGAGTTGAGTGGTTGTGACAGAGGCTGTATGGCTCACAGAGCCTCAAATATTTACTCTCTGGCCCTTGGCAGAAACATTTGCTGTCCTCTGAGCTAACAGAGGGTAACACTTGCATGCAAACAAATAATAGCCATAAAATATGATAGAAAAGAGATGTCAAACTTTTATCTGTCAGGTCAAGGAAATAATCTTAGAGAGGTTGATATTTGAATTGAATCTTGAAGTATAAGCTGGAATCTTCCAGCTGGATAAGGGGATGAAGCCCTCTAAACAAAGGACACCACATATAAAAAGGCATAGGAATGTGGAAGACAGTAACTTATGCAAAGAAACATAAGTATTCTACAAAATACATAAAAAGGAATGGTGCAAGATGAGATGGAAAAGGCAAACTATAGTGAGAAAATGAAAGGTCATTAAAGTCATTATTTTAAAAATATTAGTTTTTATATTATATTTTATATCATTTTCCATTAATTCAATTTGCCATGAGGACTGGAGATGACTACCATAAAATAAGAATACAAATGAGGAGCGTGACCCTAATATACATGAGAGATAATACGTTCTTGAACGTAGAGAAAGCGAGGAAAAAAATAGATTCAATAAATCTTTAGGAGAAAGTATTTCCAGAACTCAGTGACTGAGTAGAGATACAGAGCTGTTGAAGAAGAAGAAGAAAATCATGCTCTCCAGTATCCAGTTCAGGCTAATTGATGTGACTAATTACTACCTATAGTAAGAACAGATGAGGAGGAAGATGGACATATTTGTGGGAAAATACAAATCATTCTAAGTTATTAAAGTTTTAGAGAATCTCTGATTCATTTAAGTCATTTAGAATAATAAGTCAACGGGCCGGGCGGGGTGGCTCACGCCTGTAATCCCAGCACTTTGAGAGGCCGAGGTGGGTGGATCACGAGGTCAGGAGATCGAGATTGGCCTGGCCAATACGGTGAAACCTCTTCTCTACTAAAAATACAAAAATTAGCCGGGCGTGGTGGTGTGTGCCTGTAGTCCCAGCTACTCGGGAATCTGAGGCAGGAGAATCGCTTGAACCTGGGAGGCGGAGGTTGCAGTGAGCCGAGATCGCGCCACTACACTCCAGCCTGGGCAACAGAAGAAGGCTCTGTCTCAAAAAAAAAAAAAAGAATAATAAGTCATAGTTTTATTTTATTTCATATTCCTGTCTTTTAGTATCTATTCTGTAAGAGTATTATTGTGCTTTTCATTCTTGCTACAACTTTTATAATTATTTTTGCATGTGTAAAATTTATTTTTCTGAACTTTTAGAAGGGCCTGTGGTTCAGGTAATTTTCCTAATTTGGTATAACCCCTGTTTCTATAGTTTTGCTGTAGTTATTTGAAAAAAATATATATTCAGCAGCTTGTTTGCTGAGATTTACTACGTCTGTTCCACATCCTTTAATGTTATCTCGATTGTCTTTTCCTTTGTCTCTGTTATCCTCCCGCTTTTTAAGTTTTGGCCATGCCAGGAGTTTCTCCTCAATGTGAAGTCTTGTCCTGGGAGTCAGCCCTCACTGAAGAGCTTTGTGGAATCACAGGGACTGCACTGCCTTGGCTCATTCAGACAATGCCTCTGATGCCTCAGATTCACCAACCACTGGATTGGGCAAAACCCCTCCCATTGTCGGTGAATAACTGTGGAATACTTTGGATTTTCCAGATTTAAAATATTTTTATATTTCTCATTTCTTTTCTCTCCTTCTTTCTGCTCAAAACTGATTCCAGAGAGGTCTTATAAATGTTGAAGGGTTTTGCCATATGTCTATCACAGGGATAACTTCCCAATTACTTTTGTTGTAAACATCTGTAATGTCTATGAGATTTTGCTTTGGCTGTCTAGTTTCCATGTCTACTTACTAAGAGTCCTGAGACATTCAAACAATACAATTGCTGCCATCTTTCTAGAATCTTCAACATGTTGTTTTTTAGTTACTTGATATTAATGCTTCTAGACATGAGAGAGCTACACTATTGTTCATTGGAAAATCTAATTTCAAAATAGTGTTTCCATGTTTTCAAAAGAGCATATAGTATCCCAGAGATGAAGCCCACTTGATCATGGTGGATAAGCTTTTTGATGTGCTGCTGGATTCGGTTTGCCAGTATTTTATTGAGGATTTTTGCATCAATGTTCATCAAGGATATTGGTCTAAAATTCTCTTTTTTGGTTGTGTCTCTGCCCGGCTTTGGTATCAGGATGATGCTGGCCTCATAAAATGAGTTAGGGAGGATTCCCTCTTTTTCTGTTGATTGGAATAGTTTCAGAAGGAATGGTACCAGTACCTCCTTGTCCCACTGGTAGAATTCGGCTGTGAATCCATCTGGTCCTGGACTCTTTTTGGTTGGTAAGCTATTCATTATTGCCACAATTTCAGAGCCTGTTATTGGTCTATTCAGAGATTCAACTTCTTCCTGGTTTAGTCTTGAGAGAGTGTATGTGTCAAGGAATTTATCCATTTCTTCTAGATTTTCTAGTTTATTTGCATAGAGGTGTTTGTAGTATTCTCTGATGGTAGTTTGTATTTCTGTGGGATTGGTGGTGATATCCCCTTTATCATTTTTTATTGTGTCTATTTGATTCTTCTCTTTTTTTCTTTATTAGTCTTCCTAGCGATTTATCAATTTCGTTGATCCTTTCAAAAAACCAGCTCCTGGATTCATTAATTTTTTGAAGGGTTTTTTGTGTCTCTATTTCCTTCAGTTCTGCTCTGATTTTAGTTATTTCTTGCCTTCTGCTAGCTTTTGAATGTGTTTGCTCTTGCTTTTCTAGTTCTTTTAATTGTGATGTTAGGGTGTCAATTTTTGATCTTTCCTGCTTTCTCTTGTGGGCATTTAGTGCTATAAATTTCCCTCTCCACACTGCTTTGAATGTGTCCCAGAGATTCTGGTATGTTGTGTCTTTGTTCTCGTTGGTTTCAAAGAACATCTTTATTTCTGCCTTCATTTTGTTGTGTACCCAGTAGTCATTCAGGAGCAGGTTGTTCAGTTTCCATGTAGTTGAGTGGTTTCGAGTGAGTTTCTTAATCCTGAGTTCTAGGTTGGTTGCACTGTAGTCTGAGAGACAGTTTGTTATAATTTCTGTTCTTTTACATTTGCTGAGGAGAGCTTTACTTCCAAGTATGTGGTCAATTTTGGAATAGGTGTGGTGTGGTGCTGAAAAAAATGTATATTCTGTTGATTTGGGGTGGAGAGTTCTGTAGATGTCTATTAGGTCTGCTTGGTGCAGAGCTGAGTTCAATTCCTGGGTATCCTTGTTGACTTTCTGTCTCATTGATCTGTCTAATGTTGACAGTGGGGTGTTAAAGTCTCCCATTATTAATGTGTGGGAGTCTAAGTCTCTTTGTAGGTCACTCAGGACTTGCTTTATGAATCTGGGTGCTCCTGTATTGGGTGCATATATATTTAGGATAGTTAGCTCTTGTTGAATTGATCCCTTTACCATTATGTAATGGCCTTCTTTGTCTCTTTTGAGCTTTGTTGGTTTAAAGTCTGTTTTATCAGCGACTAGGATTGCAACCCTTGCCTTTTTTTGTTTTCCATTTGCTTGGTATATCTTCCTCCACCCTTTTATTTTGAGCCTATGTGTGTCTCTGCATGTGAGATGGGTTTCCTGAATACATCACACTGATGGGTCTTGACTCTTTATCCAATTTGCCAGTCTGTGTCTTCTAATTGGAGCATTTAGTCCATTTACATTTAAAGTTAATATTGTTATGTGTGAATTTCATCCTGTCATTATGATGTTAGCTGGTTATTTTGCTCGTTAGTTGATGCAGTTTCTTCCTAGTCTCAATGGTCTTTACATTTTGACATGATTTTGCAGTGGCTGGTACTGGTTGCTCCTTTCCATGTTTAGCGCTTCCTTCAGGATCTCTTTTAGGGCAGGCTTGGTGGTGACAAAATCTCTCAGCATTTGCTTGTCTGTAAAGTATCTTATTTCTCCTTCACTTATGAAGCTTAGTTTGGCTGGATATGAAATTCTGGGTTTAAAATTCTTTTCTTTAAGAATGTTGAATATTGGCCCCCACTCTCTTCTGGCTTGTAGAGTTTCTGCCAAGAGATCCGCTGTTAGTCTGATGGGCTTCCCTTTGAGGGTAACCCGACCTTTCTCTCTGGCTGCCCTTAACATTTTTTCCTTCATTTCAACTTTGGTGAATCTAACAATTATGTGTCTTGGAGTTGCTCTTCTTGAGGAGTATCTTTGTGGCGTTCTCTGTATTTCCTGAATCTGAATGTTGGCCTGCCTTGCTAGATTGGGAAAGTTCTCCTGGATAATATCCTGCAGAGTGTTTTCCAACTTGGTTCCATTCTCCCCTTCACTTTCAGGTACATCAATCAGACGTAGATTTGGTCTTTTCTCATAGTCCCATATTTCTTGGAGGCTTTGCTCATTTCTTTTTATTCTTTTTTCTCTAAACTTCCCTTCTCGCTTCATTTCATTCATTTCATCTTCCATCACTGATACCCTTTCTTCCAGTTGATCGCATCGGCTCCTGATGCTTCTGCATTCTTCACGTAGTTCTCGAGCCTTGGTTTTCAGCTCCATCAGCTCCTTTAAGCACTTCTCTGTATTGGTTATTCCAATTATACATTCTTCTAAATTTTTTTCAAAGTTTTCAACTTCTTTGCCTTTGGTTTGAATGTCCTTCTGTAGCTCGGAGTAATTTGATCGTCTGAAGCCTTCTTCTCTCAGCTCGTCAAAGTCATTCTCCATCCAGCTTTCTTCCATTGCTGGTGAGGAACTGCATTCCTTTGGAGGAGGAGAGGCACTCTGCTTTTTAGAGTTTCCAGTTTCTGTGCTCTGTTTTTTCCCCATCTTTGTGGTTTTATCTACTTTTGGTCTTTGATGATGGTGATGTACCAATGGGTTTTTGGTGTGGATGTCCTTTCTGTTTGTTAATTTTCCTTCTAACAGACAGGACCCTCAGCTGCAGGTCTGTTGGAGTACTCGGCCGTGTGAGGTGTCAGTCTGCCCCTGTTGGGGGGTGCCTCCCAGTTAGGCTGCTCGGGGGTCAGGGGTCAGGGACCCACTTGAGGAGGCAGTCTGCCCGTTCTCAGATCTATAGCTGCATGCTAGGAGAACCACTGCTCTCTTCAAAGCTGTCAGACAGGGACATTTAAGTCTGCAGGTTCAATATACACAAATCAATAAATGTAATCCAGCATATAAACAGAACCAAAGACAAAAACCACATGATTATCTCAATAGATGCAGAAAAGGCTTTTGACAAAATTCAACAACGCTTCATGCTAAAAATTCTCAATAAATTAGGTATTGATGGGACGTATTTCAAAACAATAAGAACTATCTATGACAAACCCACAGCCAATATCATACTGAATGGGCAAAAACTGGAAGCATTCCCTTTGAAAACGGGCACAAGACAGGGATGCCCTCTCTCACCACTCCTATTCAACATAGTATTGGAAGTTCTGGCCAGGGCAATTAGGCAGGAGAAGAAAATAAAGGGTATTCACTTAGGAAAAGAGGAAGTCAAATTGTCCCTGTTTGCAGATGACATGATTGTATATCTAGAAAACCCCATGGTCTCAGCCCAAAATCTCCTTAAGCTGATAAGCAACTTCAGCAAAGTCTCAGGATACAAAATCAATGTACAAAAATCACAAGCATTCTTATACACCAACAACAGACAAACAGAGAGCCAAATCATGAGTGAACTCCCATTCACAATTGCTTCAAAGAGAATAAAATACCTAGGAATCCTACTTACAAGGGATGTGAAGGACCTCTTCAAGGAGAACTACAAACCACTGCTCAAGGAAATAAAAGAGGATACAAACAAATGGAAGAACATTCCATGCTCATGGGTAGGAAGAATCAATATCGTGAAAATGGCCATACTGCCCAAGGTAATTTACAGATTCAATGCCATCCCCATCAAGCTACTAATGACTTCCTTCACAGAATTGGAAAAAACTACTTTAAAGTTCATATGGAACCAAAAAAAGAGCCCGGGTCGCCAAGTCAATCCTAAGCCAAAAGAACAAAGCTGGAGGCATCACACTACCTGACTTCAAAGTATACTACAAGGCTACAGTAACCAAAACAGCATGGTACTGGTACCAAAACAGAGATATAGATCAATGGAACAGAACAGAGCACTCAGAAATAACTCCGCATTATCTACAACTATCTGATCTTTGACAAACCTGAGAAAAACAAGCAATGGGGAAAGGATTCCCTATTTAATAAATGGTGCTGGGAAAACTGGCTAGCCATATGTAGAAAGCTGAAACTGGATCCCTTCCTTACACCTTATACAAAAATCAATTCAAGATGGATTAAAGACTTAAATGTTAGACCTAAAATCATAAAACCCCTAGAAGAAAACCTAGGCATTACCATTCAGGACATAGGCATGGGCAAGGACTTCCTGACTAAAACACCAAAAGCAATGGCAACAAAAGCCAAAATTGATAAATGGGATCTAATTAAACTAAAGAGCTTCTGCACAGCAAAAGAAACTACCATCAGAGTGAACAGGCAACCTACAAAATGGGAGAAAATTTTTGCAACCTACTCATCTGACAAAGGGCTAATATCCAGAATCTACAATGAACTCAAGCAAATTTACAAGAAAAAAACAAACAACCCCATCAAAAAGTGGGCAAAGGACATGAACAGACACTTCTCAAAAGAAGACATTTATGCAGCCAAAACACACATGAAAAAATGCTCACCATCACTGGCCATCAGAGAAATGCAAATCAAAACCACAACGAGATACCATCTCACACCAGTTAGCATGGCAATCATTAAAAAGTCAGGAAACAACAGGTGCTGGAGAGGATGTGGAGAAATAGGAACACTTTTACACTGTTGGTGGGACTGTAAACTAGTTCAACCATTGTGGAAGTCAGTGTGGAGATTCCTCAGGGATCTAGAACTAGAAATACCATTTGACCCAGCCATCCCATTACTGGGTATATACCCAAAGGACTATAAATCATGCTGCTATAAAGACACATGCACAGCTATGTTTATTGCGGCATTATTCACAATGGTAAAGACTTGGAAGCAACCCAAATGTCCAACAATGATAGACTGGATTAAGAAAATGTGGCACATATACACCATGGAATACTATGCAGCCATAAAAAATGATGAGTTCATGTCCTTTGTAGGGACATGGATGAAATTGGAAATCATCATTCTCAGTAAACTATGGCAAGAACAAAAAACCAAACACCGCATGTTCTCACTCATAGGTGGGAATTGAACAATGAGAACACATGGACACAGGAAGGGGAACATCACACTCAGGGGACTGTTGTGGGCTGGGGGGAGGGGGGAGGGATAGCATTGGGAGATATACCTAATGCTAGATGACGAGTTAGTGGGTGCAGCGCATCAGCATGGCACATGTATACATATGTAACTAACCTGCACATTGTGCACATGTACCGTAAAACTTAAAGTATAATAATAATAAATAAAGAAAAAGAAAAAAAAAACAACAACAAAAGAGCATATAGTAATATACAGAATAATTTAAGAGATATGTAATTGAGTCTGGATGCTTAAATAACTTGGAAATCAGTGGCACAAACTCTGAAATTATGAAGAGTTGAATTTAAAGATTCTGATTTTGCCAATCAGCTTAAACATGTTCAGAAGGAACCATTTATTGTAGCTGTTATTCCTTCCAGCATAACCTGAGCTTGTCTTCCCCTTGTGAGTGCACATATTGCAACTGAATCTATGCTTTCCAACATATTATATTTCAGCATTCCAATCAAAATTAACAATGAGCCTTGGTTTTATGATTAATCAAGTATATAGTAGGAGCTTTACCAAGTATTTTTTTCTTCCCTGCCTACATTAGTTTCATCAGAGATAATTAAGTTTTACCACATAATTGAAGGGGCAGAAACTAGAAAAGCAGGAAAAAAGCAATTTATGCAGTCTTTTAGCAGCTTATGGCTTTTAACAACAGGATAAACCATGAGAAATACATTGAAATTGAAAGCAAAGGTGAAAGGCAGTTTTCCAGTAAAATACTCATTAATGTGAGAGAATTTAAAAATATAAGCAACTGATTTTATTTATCATCTTTTTTAATATATAAAATCGGCTTTTGGATTAAGATATTGAATTATACAGAAACATAAAATTACTTGATTGAAGAGACTCATGTCTGCAAGATGGTGGAATGGGACTTGACAGCACTCATGTCTCTCAATAGCAATAAAATACTTTCACAAGAGCTTAGGAAAGGAAGTAAGAGATTACAGCACATGGCTATAGCAAAGAAACAAAAAAAGATACATCAAAGAGGGTAGGAGGAACAGTATTACATTACCTGTTTTACCCCTGCTCTCAACCCTAGGTGCACAGCACGGAGAAAGATACCCTCTGTGTGGTGAAAGGAGAGAGAAGTGAGCACCACACTTTGCCTTAGATCCCAACATCACGCCCACCCCAGTAAAACTCAATGCTGGGCAGGTCCCCATGGCCTCAGACTTCAGGCAGGTACCTGGAGATCAAGCCTGCAGGCCTGTCCCAGTGCCAAGTTGGATCTTGCAGCCTCAGCATTCAGGCCTGCTCTGCATACTCAGTCTCTGTGTCCACCCCAACTCCAGGCAAACTCCAGTGTCCCCAGGCTCTGGACTGACCCCAGTGCAGAGCTGGACCCAGCACCCTCTGGCTTCTGGCCTGTCCCAGCACCAAGCCAGACCCCACAGAGTCAGGGTTGAAGGCAGGGCTTCGTGGTCCCAGGCACCAGGCCTGCACAAAGGAGCTGGTCTCCAGAAAACAAAAGTGGCCTGTATACACGATGGAATATTATTCAGCCTTAAAGAAATAAAAAAAAAATCTTGCCATTTGTAACAATATAGATGAGCCTGGAGAACGTTATGTTCAGTGAAATAAGTCAGGCACAGAAAGACAAATATGGGATGATTCAATTATATATGGAATATAAAAAAAGTTGAACTGACAGAAGTAGAGAGTAGAATGGTGTTTTCCAGGGACTGGTGGGAGCTGTGGGGAACAACGGCTGTTGGGGAGAAGATCTTGGTCAAAGAATTCAAATTTCAGATCGATAGGAGGAACAAGTTCAAGAGATCTACTTTACAACATGGTGACTGTATTTAATAACAATGTGTTTTATTTGAAAATCTCTGAGAGTAGATTTTGCGTTCTCACCACAAAAAAGTAAGCATATGAGATAATACATATGTTAATTAGCTCAATTGAGCCATTCTACAATGGATTCATGTTTCAAAATATGTTGTACATGATGAAAATATACAATTTTTACTTGTCAATTTAATTTTTAAAAAAATAACTCTTCCTTTAATACCTTGTTTCAAAGTAAGAAAATTATTTAAAGCAGATGCATTATCTAAAAGAGAATAAAACAAAAAATTTCAGCACGTTTATGAAATATAAAGTCAATAAATAAAGAAAAATAAGTTGCTGTCTAGAGTGGAAGTAGAGGATGAAGCCAACTTTTTCTTGTAAACCTGGAGAGGTTCTGAACACAAAGATAGAGGGTGAGGGAAAACCAAGAATGAGAAGTGTCTGAATACAGTGGAAATAATATCAGTGGAATAAATAGTAGACTTTTTTCTAGGAAAAAGTGGCTACATGATCTAATGTGATACAGAGTAGATAAAAAAATGGTAGAACACCAGAGTAATGCCCTTTTAACTCAAGTATTGAAGATCCCACATAAAAATGCCTCAGTTCCAAGATTCGCATCTAAACTAAAGCTTATCAGCCTGCCCACATGCACAAGGTTCTCAACTGGCCTTGAAAGCATTCTCAAATATTGAGGAAAGCCTGAAATATAAAAGAGTAAGAATAAGATAAAGAAGCAGAAGAGCTTATCAGAAACAAAATATATAATTCAGGAAAAGAAAAGCTCCCTGATAAATTTCATCAGAGATATTGGAAGCTATAGCATTTCCCTGAAACAAAATTAAGCTGTTATGTTTGGGAAGAGAGACAGACAGAAACCAATACTGAGAGAGAAAGAGGGAGTGGGGAGAGAGAGAACTTCAATTTCAGTAATGATAAGACAGCTCAGTGTATCAGTCAGGGTTCTCCATAGTAACACTTGAATTTATTTTAAGGAAATGTCTCATGCAGTTGTGGGGGCTAGAATGTCCAAATATGTAGGGCTGGCAAGTGGGTAGGTAACTCATGCAGAAATTGGTACTGCAGTCGTGAGGCAGAATTTCTTTTTCTCTGGGAAACATCAGTTTTTGCTTTTAAGACTTTGAAGGGATTGAATAAGACTCACCTACAGTATTGAAGGAAATCTCCTCTACTTAAAGTCAACTGCTTATAGATGTTAACCACATATAAAAAGTAACTTTACAGCAACACCTAGATTAATATTTTACAATTTAACTGGCTACTGTAGTCCCACCAAGTTGATGTAGAAGACTAACCATCACACTTAGAATAAATTTTCTACTAAACACAATAAAATATATTAGTTGAATTAAAGCTATCATTTTCCTAAATGCATTATAATGTAGACAGGATAATAAGAAAACTACCAGGCAAACATCTAAGAGAAAATGGGATATAAAAGTTGTATGAAAAACCCTCAAGCAACAAAAACAATTTTGCCTTGAGGATGAGAGGCCAGCCCAAGCAAACTTGAGCTTGCTTTGGGGGAACCTTATAGATAAGTATAGCAGAAGGCAAGGCTAAATCCTCCCTCTTTAGGGGTAACTTTTAGAAGAAGATGTTCATTTTGAGCTTGCTCTCCAAAGGGACCTACTCTCAGGGTAAGGGTGAATTAGAAACAAAACTTTTCCAACTCTATGGGCAGTGGATCCTGATGCTGAATGGAGTAAGGTAGAAAAAGGAAAAAGGAAAAAACCATCCTTGAAAAGTTGGTTATGGAAGAATCTTCACACAGGTTTGAAAGCTGAGATGACAATTGGAAACATTTTGAGAGTTCAGTGAAATTTGTCAGAGTCTGATCACAGTTGCATGTAAAACTGTTAAGCAATCCATAAAACTCCTGGCAGATAACATAGGAGAATATGTTCATGATCTTGAGGTAGGGAAAGATTTATTGATCAAGACACAAAACAACATCAATAAAAATAAAAATCATTAAGACATCTAATTAAAATTAAGAGCAGGTATTCATCAGAAGACATCATCTAATAAGTGAAAATGCAAGTCCCAAATTCAGAGAATATATACACAATAATATAACTAAAACAAGGTGAATATGGACAATATATAAAGAACTCCTACATATCAAAATGTAAAACATAGAGATCTAAAAAGAAAAATGGACAAAAAGCAAACATGAATATACATTGCACACCAAAAAATCCAAGAGGCTTACAAACATATGGTATGAAGTCTATTAGTAGTCATAGAAATGCACATGTAAGTAATATTTTTCCATAATTTTATGAGTGGGAACCAAAATAATCATGATGTAATATATTGCATGGTGTTATTGGGAAATTAATGATCTCATTGGGATGAATCTCTTCAAATTGCCAGGTTAGAGGTTAGGAGGCAATCAGCAATTGCTTTATATCAAACTTTGCACATTAAAAGACTTTTATGTACCATTACACATCTACCACATGGCCAAGTTTCTTTCAAAAATAATCTGACAAAGTCAAGGACTGGCAAATCTGTGGATCAATGTTTATTCCTACACGTTGCTGGTAGGAATGTACCTGAAAACAGCCATTTTGAAAAACGGTATTATCTAATATAGTAAAATTCTAGATATGCCTACCTTTGACTCAACAAATCAACTCCTTAATCTATACTCTAGAGAAAATTCTGCAAATGAACACCAAAATAAATATCAAATCAATTGAACTCATGGGCAGAGAGAGTAGAAGGATGGTTATCAGAGGCTGGGACGGGTAGTGGGGGTTGGTAGAGAGGTAGGGATGGTTAATGGGTACAAAAAAAATAGAAAGAATGAATAAGACCTACTATTTTGTAGCACCATAGAGTGATTTTAGTCAATAATAACTTAATTGTCTATTTTATAATAACATAAAAATATAACTGGATTGTTTGTAACTCAAAAGATAAATGCTTAAGGGGATAGATACCCCATTTTCCATGATGTGTTTATTTCACATTGCATGCTGTATCAAAACATCTCATGTACCCCATAAATATATGCACCTACTATATACCCACCACAATTTTAAAAATAATTTAAAAATTTAAAAATATGTATGTGTGTGTGTGTGTATATATATATATATATATATATATATATATATATATATATATATATGATAGTTTAGGAGAGCATTGTCTGCAATAACCCAAAACAAGATATGATACAAATATCCATCAAGAGTAGAAAAGATATACATAGCATGCTATGCTCAGGTACTGGAATACAGTACAGCAGTGAAAAGTTAATGTAGATGCAGGTACTTTTAAAAATAGATGGCCGGGTGCAGTGGCTCACACCTGTAATCCCAGCACTTTGGGAGGCCGAGGCTGGCAGATCACGAGGTCAGGAGATCGAGACCATCCTGGCTAACATGGTGAAACCCTGTCTCTACTAAAAATACAAAAAATTAGTCAGGCATGTTGGTGGGTGCCTGTAGTCCCAGCTACTCAGGAGGTTGAGGCAGGAGAATGGATGGCGTGAACCTAGGAGGCAGAGCTTGCAGTAAGTGCCACTGTACTCCAGCCTGGGCGACAGAGCAAGACTCCGTCTCAAAAAAAAAAAAAGATAAATAAAATACAAAATAAAACTTTTATTAATGTATTAATAGACATTATTAAGACATGAAGTAATATAATAGATTTCTCTTTTTCTGGGGTTCTATACCAGATAAAACCTAACTATGTTTTTAGGAATGCAAAATTGTATTTTTAGGAGGCATAACTACAAAGTAAAACAAAGGCATAACCCACCTAAAATTCAGGACAGTCATTATTTAGAGGCACTGACAGAGGAGGAAGTGGAGAAACCATGATAGGAAAGGCTGGCAATATTCCATTTCTTAATCTGGGTCATACATATATACATATACTTGCTTATATTATTTATTTGTATTATTAAAATATTTATTAATCATTCATATTTTAATATTTTTCCTGTACTGTGCCTCGTGAAAGGGGAAATAAAACAGAATATTGAATAAAAGAGAAAATACATAGTCTGTATACAATTCTAATACATTAAAAATATCTTAGTGCAGGTTCTACTTGAGCATTTTTTAAAAGGTCTCCAGGTTATGTTATTGTGCAGTCAAAGTCAAGAACTACCTGTATGAGACAGAAGTTACTGATTATAACATAAGAACATCTGTCTCAGAGATGTTTCAGAACATGACTTAAGACTTATGCCCAGAGCTGGGTGTGATGACTTGCACTTATGGTACCAGCTACTTAGGAGGCTGAGGCAAGAGGATTGCTTGGTACCAGGAGGTCGAGGCTGAAGTGAGCAATGATTGCACAACTGCTCTCCAGCCTGAGTGATAAAGCAGGATGCTGTCTCAAAAGTAAAATGAAAAAATACATAAAAACTTTAAAAATGTACATGTCCAGCACTTTCTATTGTTTTAGTGAAGTATTTCTTTATGGAAACAACATACATACATTAATCAATTCAAACACTAAATTAAATTGCTTGTACTATTGTCTTTAGCTATTTTTTTCTAGATGAAAACTGTACATGGTAAAATACTTAAGCAATAAAATGAATGTAATTCATTTTAAATGAAAATAAGTAATCCTTCCGCCCTCTGTACCCATTAGATTTCCCTTCCAAGAGTCAATTATTCTTATTTATTTTCTCTGTACTCTTCCAGAGATACTCTATGCATATAAACACAGGTATCAATTTTGATCACACCAATAGTGTGAACTATTGTGACTGTTTGGAATCTGTTGGAGCCCCAGACACAAGGAGGGGTCAAACCCAAGATCTTTTCCATGGGCCTCCCAGGGTGCTCACCGAAGAGATTGAGTACAGCACAGGAGACAAGGAAAAGCGTTCCTCAGTGGTGCAGTGACACAAAATCTTGCCCGACTTTGCTCCCCTGTGAAGCAAAAGTCTTCATTACTGGGAGAAAAGCACAAACCCTATATCTTCCCAGAAGCAATCAAAGACCCATTGCTGCTGGATTAAAAAGTAAAAGCAACAGGAAGGGCAGCATGCTCATCCATCCCATAATTCAAGGAAAAGTTCTGCTGGATCTGAGAGAGGGGTAAAGAAAAAGCCATCTGCCACTGGGAGAGGAACAAAAACTTGCTTCAGTCCAGAATCTCACAATAGCTCAAGATATCTGCTAGGGCTGGAAAAGAAGCAGGGATCTGCTCCAGAACAAGATTGTCCACCACTATGTGGCAGACACTATTTAGCAGAGGGAGAGAAGCAAACCTATTAAGAAAACCCCACCCCTTGGCCATATTTAGACACGTAGGCACATAGAGGCTTAGACTGGGGCTGGAGCAGAAACACTGAGTAAAAAAAGTTCAACCCTTGTACTAAGGTATGTAGGGTCAAAATATACTCCCAGGGTAGGCAGAAGGAAGAGAGAATCCTTCTGTGCCATAGATATGCAATGGCTTCCAAACACTGAGGTGGTGCAGAAACACTGAGAAAAGTGTTCTGCAACCCTCACACTGAACACACAGGAGTAAATGTCTAATGCTGGAGAAATTTGAAAACTATAGGGCACTGAAAATAACTATAGCAACAACAAAACCCCAAACCAGCCAAATGAATTGTCTATATTGGAGCAAACAACCATGCTAACAGCCTGAGAGAAGAGGAGCATCCATTCCCCGGCAAAAAGGTTATGCCTCAAGCTCTATTATTCTTCTGCATACAATGTCCAACATTGATTAAAAAATTACAAAACACAGAAAAGTGGGAAAAAAAGCAATACAACTTTAGTTCTGGTTCTGATGAATACAGTCAAGAGATAAAGGAGTTCACAGAACTAGAACCAGAAATGACCCAAATGTTGCAAGTATTAAACTGGGATTGTAAATAAATATGATTAATACTTATAGGCTATAGAGTAAAAGATAGGGGCCATAAATGAAAAGATAGGAAATTTTATAGGAGTGATTAAAACTATTTAAAAGTCAGCTATGTTAGCAGTTTAAAAAATTTATCTGAGGTTAAAAACTCCTTTGATGCACTTTATCAGCAGACTGAACATGACTGAGTATCGAATAAAGCATTTTAGAGCTATGGAAGAATTTCATAGTATCTAAAATCTAATTCTATGCAATTAGAGTCCAAGAGGGTAAAGGAAAAGGGAATAGGAGAAGAATATTTGAAGAGTTCATATACAATATTTTTTCTTTCTTAATTAACAAATGACAATATGCCACAGAGGCAAGAATCTTTGAAATCCCAAGAAGGAAATGTATGATGTAAACATAGATGAGCATATAAGTGAGCAACGATCCTGCCTTGTACCATATATAAAAAAATAAGGTGAAATTGATCATAGAGCTAAATGTAAGAACTGAAATTATAAAGCTAGAAAGAACTGTAGGAAAAAGCTTTATAACCATCAGTTAAGCAATGACATTTTATAAGTTACAAAAAGGCATAAAACATAAAAGGAAACAATGAAAATTGAACTATATCCTAATTTTAAGGCTTTGTTGTATGAAAAACATGCTTAAGTTAATAAGACAAGATTCAACTGGAGGTCATTTTGTTAAGTGAAAGAAGCCAGGAACAGAAAAACAAACATTGCATATTCTCACTTATCTGTGGGATGTAAAAATCAAATAATTGAACACATGGTGATAGAGAGTAGAAGGATGGTTATCAGAGGCTGAGAAGGGTAGTGGGGTATATGGCCAGGGAAAGTGAGGATGGTTAATGAGTCAAAAAATAGTTTGAAAGAATGAATAATACCTAGCGTTTGATTGCACAACAGGGTGACAATAGTCAAAATAATTGAATTGTACATTTTAAAGTAACTGAAAGTATAATTGGACTGTTTGCAATACAAAGGATCAATGCTTAAGGGGATGGACCCTCCATTTTCTGTGATGTGATTATTACATACTGCATGTCTGTATCAAAATATCTCACATACCCCATGTAAATATATATACACCTACTATGTACTCACCAATATTTACAATTAAATATTAAAAATAAAAAATTCAAACTGGGAGGACAGATTTACAAATGATATTTCTTATAAAGTGCCTGTTTCCAAAATATAAATAACCTTTAAAATTTAATAAAAGAAACAGATCAATGTAATAAATGGATAAAAATATTTTACAGACACTTTACCAAAAAAAGCATATAAATGACAAATAAATACATGGAAAATGCATAACATCATTAATCACCACAGCAATGCAAATTAAAACAATAGTAAGATTGTACTTTACACAGAGTATAATAGCTAAAAGTAAAAGGATTGACAGTATCATGTGCTGGCAAGAACGTGGAGCAATTGAAGCTTTCATATATCGCTGATAGAAATTCAAAATGGTATGGTCACTTTGAAAAAGAAAGCAGTAGTTTCTTATATAAATATATTCTACCATATGCTACTATACATACTACTACAGCTAATTTATTCCTAGAAATTTATTCAAAAGACTCAGTGTGCATCCATGCACTGATCTCAGTACAAATGTTTACACCAATTTTGTTTGTAATTGGAAAAACTAGAAATGGTGACTGCAAATATCCTTCAAATACTGAATAAATAAAAAAATGTGTAATATTCATTAAATGAGATAATATTCAGCAATAAAAAAGAACAAATACATGGATAAATCTCAAAAACATTAAATGAAGTTAAAGAAGTTAAACACAAAAGACTATGTACTCTACGGTTCCATCATATGATATTTATTTTTCACTATAAATGTTTAACGTTGCTTAATAGGTTGAAGCTATTTAGACCAGATAGTCAACAATGGAAATTCTGCAAATTTCAACTCCATGTGAGGTTGTACTATGGAAACATATTCAGACAAGTAAAATCTCAGATGTGGCAGGATATACTTATTTGTACAAGTAAGATAATATTTTAGTTTCAGGGACTGGAATAAAGATATGTTTGTCAAGCTGAAACAAGAGAAAGTGGAGATGTCTATGTCAGTGTTAGAAACAGCAACAAAGATCATTGCCACTACTGGGTGTTTTCAGAAACACTTGCTGGAAAGTGCTATTTTTAAGCAGGGTCTGTCGTAAAGGAGCCAGATCCGTCTCACTTCGTGGAGATAAAAGCTGCATCTTTATATTATTAGGCTTCTGTAGCTCTATGAAGGAAGGAATGCTATGCTTGGTGTACCCAAGAGACACTGATGAAAGGCAGATAGAAATTTAGTGGGTATTTTTTCTTTTTAAAATTTTTGAGATTAGAATTCACGGAGGTATTCATTTAATCAGTGCCCTGATAATTGCTACTAGGCAAATGAGGCAAATCATTGAGAAACTCAGAGGAGGAATAATACTTTGTCATAAGTAATCAGAAAAGATTTCTTAGAGAAAATGCATTTGGTCTGAGTCTGGAAGTATCGGTTAGAATTTGAGTGACAGAGATGGGAGAATACCATAAATAAAATGGGAACTAGGAGGTTCAGTTGAATTCTAATAAGAATGAAAGAACAAAAAAAGCAAAGAGTCAAAGGTTGTACTCCACTATCTTCCTCATTCTAGGGAAGCTGAGTATAGAATTTAATTTCAAATTCTGAATAATCTCTTACTCACTATGTGACTTACTTGACCTAACTCTCAGTTCACTCATTTGTAACAAATCTCCCTAATATTAATAATATGGTAGAAAGGATTTGATAAAATTGCATAAGCAAAACACTTAGCCTTCAGTCAGTTTTTAAAATGTTGTTTTCTACAACCCTGGAAACTCTTTTTCTTGTACAAGACAACTTTTAGTTTTCAAAGACAGACATTGTAAATAAAAATATACTATGGCAGATTAAGAAAGGATTCTCAGCTGACATATAGGTTGAGAATAACGACAGTGATTTCCTGCAAATGAGACAGAGGTTAGTTACCCAGGAGAACAACTGTCAACCTTGGGAAATTCACATTTGTTTAATCATCCCCACCATCTCCATGAGGATGACTCTTCCTAGAAAATTCTTAAGCATCTTTCATGTTGTTGCCCATACTTTATCAACATCAAAATTATTTACTGTTATTTCCAATAAATTTACTTGCCTGAGCTTTCCAGGCAGGTAAGTTCTTCACACTAGAGTAGCCGCTGTATTGCTTGTTTGTGCCCCGATTTTGACACTCACCTTATATTGACAGGGCTGTTCCTAGCCTTTCACTGAGAGGTCACTGAATGAAAGGACCATGTTCTAATATGATTTGTACCTCCAGAAACTATAAAGTATCTGGAACATAAAAAGAACATACTAATGCTTGCTGTAGAATAAGCCAAAAGGAAAATGAGAGCTGCTAATAAGGAACCAAATGGTCAGATGGGGATTATAAAATTTTCCTTAGAAATGTTGTCTAAAGTTAACTGTTATTTAAGCTGATTGTTGCTTGATGTAAATTGCAAAGCAAGAAGGAAGGAAGAAAGGAAGAAAAAATGGAAAGGGAGGCAGACAGAGGGGAGAAAAAGAATTACCATCAAACCAAGCAAATACCAATGAAAATATATACTAGAACTACTGTGCTATGAGCAGGATCTTAAAAAATTATTATAAAGCATTATGAGTTGTGAAAGATTTTTTTAAGTGGGGTTTTTTTTTTTTTTGGTTACATGAATAAGCTCTTTAGTGGTGATTTCTGAGATTTTGGTGCACCTATCACCTGAGCAGTGTACACTGTACCCAATTAGTCTTTATCCTCACCCCCTCCCACTATTTCCCAAGTCCTCAGAATCCAATGTATCACTCTCATGCCTTTGCGTTCTCATAGCTTCATGTAACTAACTTAACAAACCTCTTACTATGAACCATCTGCTATGTCTCTAACATTACTTTTTTCACAAGTCATCTTATTTATTTATTTATTTGCTGTGAAACTCCTCATAATAAGATATTATTTGCTTAAATATGTTTCATAAAATGTTGGTCCTCGTTTGATCTTCTATAGAATGGAGGAAATATTCATAATTAAAGCCAACATATGGGGATGGCAGGTGGTCATTTCCTGCAATAATGGCTATGATATGAGTTAATTTCAAATTCTAAATTAAAAAGCAATGAGTTCCAAAATGCATAATCCATTCAAGGAAAACAACACTTTGAGGACTATGCCCATCAGTTATTAACTGTTTCAAAAGAATGACCCTTTAACTATCAAAGCTTTGTTAACCAAATTTCATAATATATGCCAGTATTCAAAGCACAGTGATTCTGATATCTATCAACTCCCTAATAAGCAAGTAGGGAAAGAAAAAGTCAATTACTTTTTGTGAAATGTTTTAAAAGAAACTATGTGGTTCACTAACACTATTTTTAAAAATTCATTTAAATCTCTGATGACAGGATGTGTCCCTCCAGCCTATTTCATGGGCAACTTTAAAAATGGTATTCCATTGTTTCAAATAAGACTAGGAAATTGTATCAGCCATATGCCATTTCCCATGCCAAGGAAATAAGGAGACTGCCTTCTCTATACCTGATTACCATAAGAAGTCATTCACAAAGTTATAACAAATCATTTAGTTATACTTCTTCCTATTATTATAAAAATGAATGATGAAAACAAATCTCTAATATTTCTTATAACTAACAGACTTAATCAAGTTTTGGTTTTCCATGTCAACACAACCAAATAATCCTTAACTATTAATAAATGGAACAAAAGTAAAGATATTTTGAAAATATATGAAAATTTATGGTGATTCTATCTTGAAGAGATAGTGTCATTTGCTAGAAGAGAATGGTGAGAAGAAAGAAATAATAGTTCTCTTTTTTCTCACTATAATTCTTAATACTAAAATGTTTTATAATTAGCATGAATTTCCCTATTACTGGTCCTTAAGAAGTTAATATTGATAAATATCTAGTACCTCAGTATAAAATAACAATCAGACAACAACTCATCTTTGATTGAAAGTCAAATAACAAAAAAATTGATAAGCTACCTGTGAAGATTTTTAGAGAATCCCAGTTGGAATTTGGATGGTAGCCAGATGTACAAAACAAGGGGTTGACAATTACCAAGTAACAATTGAATAAATATAACCAGTTGGTAGTTTCTGTTTACCAATGTATTGATGCCCTAAGTCTGTAGATTTGTAGGATGTATTTGCATTGCAGAGAAGGAGGCTAATGGCTCCAAATGTGTTAGACTATGGCTTTTGTTCTTGTTCTGTCAATAACAAATTTTATGCACTTAAACAACTGATTAGTTCTCTGAGTATTAATTTTTGTCTGGATTATATTAGGATTAATGTTCTATGATTTTATGATTCTGTGAATCCATCCTATCAGGATTCTTAACGTCAACAAAATTGCATTAATGGCCACGTGTGTTGAGGGTATTATATTTATGTTTTCACACACACACACACACACACACACACACAAATATGCCTTGAAATTTTAGATTAGGATTAAATTGTGAAGGGTATTACCCACTGGGTCACACTAAAGATATGTTCTGTAAATGGTGGGGACAGATATAAAAGCTTTTTAAGCACAGGGGTAAGGTATTATATTTAGGCTTATAAACATGGCTATAACATAGACTGTAGATTAAAAGGTTAAGTCAGGAAAGACTAGGAGATCTGACAGGGACTTATTTTACAGTGGTGATAATGAAATGGTGATGTAGGAAAGGAGACAAAAACCACTGGTAAAATATTTTGGGAATAAATTTTAAAAACCTTAATGATCAAGTGGATATTATTGGATTTGAGATGAAGGACAAGAAGAGATCAAGCTCATGTGAGGTCAATACACAGGGTAAAAAGTGGCAAGCGTAGCCATTTAGAGTTTTATAATAAACTGCATGGTGTTGAATATCATTGCCCACTTCAAATATGTATGGAGAGCAAGAAAAACATTAAAATGAAAATAATTTTGAAGACCACAACCTATAAGCGTAGACAGCGAGTGAATGACTTACAAAAATACTGTGAAGAATGAACCAGAAGAGAACGACTGAGTGAAATCAATGAAAACCAACAGAATAAGTAATATTTAAGAAAAAAAAGTCGTCAATGTTGTCAAACAATGCAGATATAAAAAATAGAGACCTGGAAAGACTCTACTGGATGGATTAAATAATGAGGTCATCAATGGCACTGGTCAGTGTGATCCCAGTGGAGTGGTAGTGGCTTAAGTGTGAAGGCAGTTCATGGGAATATAGGAGTAAGAGGTGCAGAAACAGGTGGCCACTACTGACTCTTTCTTTGAGGTTCTGACATAAAAATGAGGAAGGATTTAATGAAGTAGGAGAGGTGATAGATGAGAAAGTAGTCATGGGAAGAAGTAGATAACAGAGATAATTTTTTTATATGTAGGAAAGATGTTGAGATCCTTAAATGCTTTTTTAAGAAGTCACCAGCAAGAAAAAAGTTAAATACATTGGGGAGAGCACCAATCTTAATAATATCCTCATGGGAATGGAAGGGTGTAGGCTGATGAGCACAGATGGAAGGATTCTTTTTTTAATAAAAGGGAATACTGCTCCCCTTGGAGACTATCTCTTGGAAATATCAAAGATACCCTTGAACCAGGCTTCTCAATAAACTCTTCTGGGATAACCAAACACCTAGAGGTTCCAGAATTCAAGTTTCAAATTCAAATGAAAAATTTTAATGAGCAAAAGTAAGTCAAGTTTTTTTTTAAGATTCTATTTAAGATCATGTGCCTAACCTAGTGCCTGTCTTTGTCAGGATGTCTCTTTCAAATCAGAATATGCTTGAGTGACCAATCACTTATATAGACAGTTCTGAACACAAGCCAAGCACAGCAGTACATAGATGAGCTGTCCTGGCCTTTCTCTTGTGTTTCTGTAGGTTATTACCCTTTGCCATATGGTGCCTATCTTCTTACATTCTCCATGCCAAAATACATCAATCAAAACTAATGCACCACCAAACCCAGTCACTGAACTTCCACACTTAAATCATTCTCTTAATCATCTATACTAGATAGGATGCAGAAGTCTTTAATGCTGCAAGCACTTGCTATGTCCCTTGATGCTTTTGATGAAATAGAAAAATATTTTCTGCATTAATTCCTACCACTTGTGCTGTAAAACCTCAGGTTTTGGTTGGTCTAAAACTGATACAATCTGTGGGGATCTTTAAGAGAATATGTAGATTTGTAAATCAATTTGTAAAATATATTTGAATATGTGAATTTGTAAACTCAAAAGTATGTGCAGGGCTCATTAAAAGGACAGTTAAACTGAGAAAGAGTGAATAGTAAGCCTCATTAACTTCATGTTAAAACTGTCTAAAACCAAAAGAATTTAAGATGTGGTATTATTATGTTGGTTTTTCCATGAAGTTCACAGAACACCACAAGCACACAAACCTACTTAGATGGCTAGAAAGAGTACTGTTTTCTATCTCATATTCCCCTGCATGCCTGAAATAAGCTTCTATTACCAAAGTGATTCTGGAAAATTTGTGAGTGTCAGTTTCTTGCGGTGTGGTGGATATTTCACCTAGATCATATTCATATTTGATATGCTCCTCTCCAAATTTAATCACTCATTTATTATATTAAATTTGCTTTCATTTTTCCTCTTGATTTTGTTTTTTTTCTCTGCATTTTCACCACCATTTATCTTGAATGTAGGCTTAAGCTTCCCATTTTGCTTTATACCTGAAGTCCTTCACTTCTAGCTGGTACCTCATTGACCCTATAACTTGTACTACACTAAACTTCTTAAGATTCTGTTTTTTAGGCATTGTATCTTTCTTCCAAAAATCTTCAGTGGATCCTCAACACAAACAAAATGAGATCCAGATAAACCAGCAATCATGGTCTGTCACAATCAAAGTCCTTCACTTACTCTCATTTATTCTTATTTACTATTACTTTTCTATGTGACACTACACTTTAGACAAATTGGTTTATTGGTCTTCTCACATTCGATTTAATGTATAGACTTTTATGCATGCTTTTTCCCATGTGTAATATTCTCAGCACTTTTACCCCATCTATCAAGTCATTATCTTGTTCTACATAAGCAGTTTCAAAGGTTACACAAATCTTTTTCAAATTTTCGTAAGCACTTCCTCTTTTTTAATTGCCTAATCACTCTCATGATGCTCAGCATCTTCTTACTATCACATTTATCTTTTCTGATTTACTTCCTATTGTTTCATAACACCACAAACCCTTTAAGGTTAGAAGACATTTAGACAATTTTTGTTTTATTTCTCCAAACACATGGTATATTGCCCAGTGTTTAGAAGTACATAAATAATTGTTGGTAAGGATTTTAATTCTTCATAGAAAGATTGCAAAGTTAGACACTGGTGTGATGAGAAAATACCTTCTATTCTCATTGATTTTATAACTGGCACTGGGATAAATTTCCCAAGATGTTTCTTATTATGCATTGCATTCTTGTTCCTAACTTCAGTTGTCCCTCAACACATACAAAATAAGATTAAATAAACTGGCAACTATGGTCTAACACAATCTAAATCCTACTGTTACCTTTATTTACTACTACTTTTCTTACCAAACTAATTACAACCCAATTAGTACATAAAACCTCAACTTTATCCTTTTGTAATGTCACTTGCAGAAAAAAAAATGTGTCTGGCAAGCCACACAAACTGCTTCTTTTTGAAGACAGAAAATGACAAGTGAATTTTTATGCACATCTTCAAGATGAGTTCTTGAAAATAAGAGACTAACTGGAGTGGTAACACCCGATTTTAAAAATTATTTAGACAGAGAAGTAACATGTAGAATCCCTTGGATTCCTAAATTCACAGGGAGTGATGTATGAGTATTTCATAGGCAATTATTTTCAAATCCTGATAAAAGTTCCCTTGCATGAGCTATTACAAAATACAGTTTTAAAAATCTATAACTGGCTATACAGTTAGGAATATTCTCTCTATTTTTATTATTATGTTTCCTTAAATGTCATTGCTTTGCCCAAAGCCTAATACTTACAAATACATTTTGCTAATTCAATGTAATTGAACACAACAAATAAACATTTAAATTCAGTGAAAGTAAGATAATCTTCATGCACATCTAAAATTTTTATTGTTCTTGATTAAAACAAGATCTCGATAGTCAAAGCATTCTAAAAACAGTATCAATCTTATGTATAAGCAAATCGCTTTTTCATGGTATACTGAGCATTATATAGTGATCTTCGGTTGTAAAAGCTATAGTAAAATTTATCTATATACACTTACAGCACAATTTTTCTTTTTTTTCAGCTGTAATTTCACTAGGAATACGCCATGCCTCTTTGTAATTCTTAAGTCTAGCCTTACTGCTGTACCTAGATGTTCCTAAAATGCTCTCTATAATAAGAGAAGTTAATCTTGTCCTAACTCTTCATTAAAAACTCTAGAATCTTCCAAAAATTATTTAACAATATATGAGAGCCAAAGACTAAAATATTTCACAGAATGTTCTAAACATTTATCCACAAAGCAGGTACCATGTATTTTCACATTCATTCTCTGAGGATTCTCAAATTTATTTATCCACCTAATATCCTTCCCCTGATTTCCAATCACATGTATTCAATTGCCTCTTTCATAGTTTGTAGGACGCATCTCAAACTGAGCATTTGCAAAGCTCAAATCCTCAATCCCTGCTCCTACCCCATACTCCCTACTTATTTTTCTTTTTTATCTCAGTCAAAGGTAACTATATTCTTCTAATTTTTCACACCCCAATCTGAAAGTCATCCTAGATTTCTCTTGCTTTCACATTATGCATCAAACTTCATTAGCAAATTCTGTCCCTACTATTTCAAAATTCATCCAGTATTTGACAACTTCTCACATGTCCACCATAAACCTACTGGCCCCAGACACCACCATCTTAGAAGGTGCATCCAGTGGTTTCTATTTTGATGCTGAATTTTCATGAGTGCTATTCTGTATTACACATCAGGTTGTATTATGTATAAACTGCTTTATGACTAGTTTTATGTTACAAAACAGATAATAAGTGTAATAAAAAGGATACTAATAAGTATCTACTTGGTTGCTCTACATTTTATCCTGCTGCTCCTGTGCACCAGTTATTTCCCAATATATCGCTCATCTATATGAGCTTTATATGGGTATGTTTTATGTATAAATTCACTGGTATTATTTAAAACTTCACAGATGTATGTAAGTTTATTATTTTAGGTCATACTTAGGAGCACATTGTAGAATTTCTCTGTTGAGCTTGTTTTTGTAGTTCTGAATACTACAAAGCTACATTATGCAAACAACTTTATTTTCAAGTCAGATTAAATGCTAACTGCAGAAAGCATGTATATATTACGCTACCACAATTCAAAATGCATGACCACAGGGATGTGCAGTCCAGAGGGACAATCACCAGGGAGTCCAGCATGGCACCTCTCCACTATCCATGAGCCAAATCCAGGCCCTCTCCAATACAGTTCGATCTCAGTCTTTTAGTGGAGGAGTGGGGTTGGGGTCTTCCTCGGATACTCTATCTCAGCCCTATAGGTAGTAGCTCCTCCTTATACATGCAGTTTCTGTATTCTTTAAGTTCATCTTTATATCTCACTGACAAATAACTATTTTTCTAATCCCATGTTATTAGTTCTTTATGTTAAACTTTCTCTCTTCATGTTATCATGAGATTCCTGTCTACTGACTGGATCTTGACTGATACACATGTATCCTCATGATATAAGACAGAGATGACACTGCACATCAGAGGAGGAAAGGGAACTATGTCAATAAATAAGGAGCAGTGGGTATCCATATAGACAAAGAAGAAAGAAAAATGAAAGAAGAAGGAAAAAAAGGAAGGGAGAAAAGTAAAAACGAAGGAAAAAAGAAAGAAAGGAACTCATTGTAGGCCACAATTTTACATTATGCACAAAGTCAATTCTACATATATATTAAAAATTAAATGTGAAAGACAACTACAGAATTTTTAAAACATGTAGGAAAATATCTTTATGACTTTACGGTAGAAAATTGCTTAAATGAGACACAAAAAGCACTAATCATAAAATAAAGCATTGATAAATGTAAGCATCAAGAAATTGTAAAATTTTGTACGTACATCATGAAGAGACTAAAAAGACAAGCAACAAATGTGTAGAGAAATTTTGTAAGTCAACAAGGAAATGACAAGACAAACCAGTGTAACATGAACAACATACTAAAAATAAAAATTTCCTGCATCAAGGAAAGGAATTCAATTGGCCAATAACCTTATGATACGTCACTCAACATCATTATTCATCATAAATTTCAAATCTAGCTACACTGATGTGTTACAAACCTTCCCAGAGGCAAAAATTAAGTATCTCACATCAGGTGCTGCCAAAGTTGAAGAACATTCTAACCGTAATCATATCTGGAGTGAATGTATGGTGCTTTTTTAGAAACAACATGTATATGCTCTTGATTCATTTAACATTGATGACATCATCTACTTGCTTTCAGTTAAGTGGGATTTAAGTAAAAAATCATCTGGCTAGTTCTAGTGTCTTTGATTTTAATTTCACTACATTCCTTTGACTAAGTAATACATTATCTTTTTTTCTGAAATTCTAAAGGTACCAATGTATAGACTTCAGACATTTAGAATTTTCCCTCTCTCTTTTGTACCCCCAATTTCCCAAGAAATACACGAGAAAATATTTTTATTCCCTTTTTCTTTCTCCATATGCATACTTAAGTTTTGTGAGATGTGAAACTTTTCATTTTTATGCATAAGTCTCCTAGGCCTCTGTGCAGGATTGTCCTCATTTGGTAATTATTGCTCAGAATATGAAGACATTTCTCTCAAAATGTAAGGTTTTATTTTTGGAAATCACAGGGTATTTTTTACTCCAAAAATTGAAGTTTGTGCTATACATGATCATTGTTAGGTGTCATACTTATGTATACCTATTTATATGTGCACGCACGTGTGTGTGCGTGTATGAAATGTATATGTGCCTGTATGCATATGCATTAACTCACTTTAAAAAATATTGTATTTGTCCCCAGGACTCACATTTTCTTGACAGCCTATTGTAATCCTGTTGCTTATTTTTTCTTTGGACCTCTTTATTCACATGGTGATTCTATATTTGGTACTTAAAGCTCAGCCCAATTGTCAACATACTTAAACATCATTAGCCTAGGAAACTGCAAAAGGCACAGCTCATTGTGTTCTATGGGATGACAGTGTGCAGAAGACAAATCACACAATAAATGTCATCATAGTAAGTGATGTTCTGGAAGATGTATATTTTTGATGCACATGTATCTCTATGATATAAGATAGAGATGGCATTGCAGATTGAAAAAAACTTAAAAATTGAAAACTATAAGGATAAGAAACTCATTACTTTATTAAAAAACAAAGCAAGAAAAAGTTTACAGAATACATGAATAAGCAATTTTGAAAAAAATGGAAAACTATAATAATAATGAACTCATTAGTTTATAAAAAGACAAAGAGAAAATTGACAGAATATATGAATAGGCAACCTGTAGAAGAGTTAAACCAAATGAATAATAAAAAAGATATATTTAAATACAATATTGAAAGGAATGTAAATTAAAGTAACAATGAGTTACATTTAATATTTATCAAACTGGTAAATATTAAAAAGATCAATTTAAATTGCAGGGGAAACAGGAAAAATAATATAGTCATATATTTTATATCTATAAATTGGGATTGATAACATGATGCATGTCATAGGCCTTATACTTAACATACCCAAATGAGTCAGCAAACCTTATTTTACTCTTGACAACAAAAAACTTGATAATTTTTCATTGCTCTGATGAGAAACAGCATTTTGTTTATAACTGCCATTTATTTGTTGAGTACCAAATTTCACCAAATTACCATATTTTGACTGATGAAAAGAAATACATACTGTTCAAAGCAAACACTGACCAAAGACACTATGTCCTAGGGAAGTAGAATAATACACTTTTGAAATTTTAGATGATATTCTATTTAGCCAAACACCAAATTGGACAAATTTTCTTTGAAAGGTAAATTATCTTTACTCATGATTCCCATTCTTATATCTCCATTCCAGAGTATAATATTTTTTTTAAAAGGTGTAACAAAGGTTGGAGTTGTATTATTTTTAAGCAAGAAAAAAAACCATCAACATTACTGGGCCAGATGGAAAAAGAGTAATGAGAAAGCAGAATGAAAAAGAAAAAAGGAAGAGTGAAGTTATTGGGAAAAAAAACATTGCCCAAAGGACTTAGTAGTTACCTACAACACATATGAAGGGACAGAGCAGTTAAAAAAAAAATCCCTATCCAAAGTGTGGTGGAGGCACATGGAGGCTAGTAATATTAATATTCAAATTTAACTATTGCTCTATTTTTGAAAAGAAGAAAAACTTCTTCCACCCCAGAGGATAATCAAAGGAGATTTCCTGGGGTTTCCCCTTAACTCTCAGACAATATTATGAATAACTCACATACACCAAGTATTAAGATCCATTTAAGTATTCAGTTGTAAAAAGACTTATGTATTACTACAGCTGTTATATGACTTATTTTAAAGCAAGGAAACAGATACTGTGAATAATGGACCAAATAATTTAGCACATTTTATAATGCTACTATTTAGTTTAATGTATAACGTCCTATCTCTTCATTCTCTTTTTCCTTTGGTCACTTATTTATCACTATCATTTTGACTCTGCAATAATTTTTCTCTTTTCTAAAGGATATTGATAGTTTATCTTTGGATGCACCTAGCTAAAGATGCATGCTTTCCATGATATAGACACAGTTAGTCACTTTGTTCTGAAACTGGACTTGCAAGATCCTAGATAAAATAATGTAACAAACAGTGTGACTACCTTATCATCTCCTAAAACAAAGGAAAAAAAAAACTCTGCTATTACTACCTTAAAGATGGTGCTTCTATGGAATACAATGCAAGGTTAATTCTCCATTTTTGTGCCCTGTTGTCTTGTTATCCTTGGTGTAGTGTAGTCATCAGTTATATCTTTATAAAAACAAACACATCCTCAAGTTTAATTATTCCATATATTTGTAGGTAATCATTAAATGTATTTGGTTTAGAAAAACTCCTCATACAATTTAAGCTTTTGAAAATAATTATACTTTAAAGAGCATTTAAACAATCTTCATATTTAATTCATAAACATGGAAATTACTTGCATTTTATGACTGAATAATATGATACGCAAAACAACCTAATGTTTTTTCCTGACTCAACATGTGGTTTCCTACTAATAAAAATAATCACTCTCATTTTCTCAATATATACAAAACTATGTGACTGCACAATCTAAACACTTTGTGTATTACACTCATCATCACAACCACCATGCAAAATAGTTATTATTTTCCCCATTTTGTAGAGAAGAAAAATAAAAGTTATGTGACTTGCTCAGTCACAAAGGTAAAAACTGATGAAAGTAAAATTAAAACCTGACGTTATTTCATAATTTTTAAATTAAGTTGTATTCACCCATTTAACTATACATTGGAGAAATTTTGATAATTGTGCACTGACATTTAATTCTCACAACACACAAAAAAAGATGGAAAACAGTTCCATTCTCATAACCCTTTGTAGGCCATCTCCTCTCCCAGTCTCCAGCCTCAGGCAACCACCCATCTGATTTCTGACCCTAGATACTTTTTCTAAGAGTTCATATGAATAAATTGCACAGAATGTAGCCTTTTGTGAGATTATTTTACTTACAGTAACATTTCCAGATTCACTTATACTGTTGTGAATATTAGTATTTTCCCTTGTACTGCTGAGTAATATTCCATAGTAACAATATGCCACAATTCATTTACCCATATGCTAGTTAATGGATGGTTGGATTGTTTCCAGGTTTTTTCTGCCTTTTTGTTATTTTAAATAATGCTGTTGTAAATATTTACATAGTAGTCCTTAGGTGGACAAATATTTTCACTTTTCTTGTGAAATATAACCATAGGTGGGATTTCTGGTTTCTATAAGTGTATGTTACATTTTAAAAAGATGTTGCTACACTGTTTCCAAAGTGGCTGTGACTGCATTTCCACTAGCATCCTATGAGTTTCAGTTATTCCACATTCTTACCAAAACTGATATTATCAATTTTATCTTTTATAGTGAGTGTGCAGTGGTATCTTACTGTGTTTCTTTTTTGTTTTTGGAATTGCATGATGACTAGTGATGTTAAGCATTTTACGTGCTTATTTGTCATTTATATGTCTTCTTTGTGAAGTGTCCCTTCAAAACTTTTGCCTCCTTTTAATTAATTTGTCTGTCCAATTATTACTAATTCACAGGCTTAATTTATATATTCTTGATAGAAGCTTTCTGTTTGATACATGTTTTGGAAAGATTAGAAAGATTTTCTCTGGCTTGCCTTTTCATTTCTTGAATGTATATTTGAAGAGAAGGTTTTCATTTTGATAAAATGTGTATATTTTTTGTCTACAGTTCCTACCTTTTAAAATCTTTGTATAAGAAACTTTTACCTAAGTCAATGTCACAAATATTTCTCAAAAGCTTTTGTTTAGAATTTTAAAAATTTTATGATTTACAATTAGGCCTATAATCCACATTCAATTAACTTTTTTGTGTAATGTTAGGTAAGGGTCTAGGTTCTTGTTTTCCCAATATATGTATTCAGATGTTCCAGCACCAAGTGTTGAAAAGGTTATATATTCTTAATTGCATTACATTGGCTTCTTGGCCATATAGTAATTAATCATACCAGTTTGGGTCTATTTCCAGAAAATCTGTTTTTTCCAATTGGTCTATATCCTTAGCCTTATACCAATACCATACTGTCTTTATTACTCCCTATTAAGTCTTGAAATCAGCTAATATAAGCCCTCCAATTTTATTCTTTAACAAAAAAATTCTATTGGCTATTTTAGGTATCTTGCTTTGTCATATAAATAGTTTTAAATATCTATTAAATCTCCTGATAGATTTTTAACTGTGATCGTAAAAAATACATGAATTAATTTGGGGCTGAAATAAAACGTCTGACTCCATTTTTGATGTTCAGCTGCTCACACCTTTGAAGTGGCATAAGTCCTTGCCTACTTCTGGAAACCCTCAGTTAAGACCCACTGACTAACCACAATAAAAATTCAAATCAGCCGGGCGCGGTGGCTCATGCCCTGTAATCCCAGCACTTTGGGAGGCCAAGGTGGGTGGATCACCCGAGGTCAGGAGTTCAAGACCAGCCTGGCCAACATGGTGAGACCCCATCTCTACTAAAAATACAAAAATTACCCAGGCATGGTGGCAGGTACCTGTAATCCCAGCTACTCGGGAGGCTGAAGCAAGACAATCGCTTGAACCCGGGAGGCAGAGGTTGCAGTGACCCAAGATCGCACCATTGCACTCCAGCCTGGGGTACAAGAGCGAGACTTCGTCTCAAGGAAAAAAAAACAAAATAAAATAAAAAAATAAAAATAATAAAAAATAAAAATAAATAAAAAAAATTCAAATCAACCTGTACTATTGGACCAGTATGGAGATGTGGCCTCCTCTCCCCAGAAAGCCTCATTATGTAAACGGTAAGCCTTTTCATACTTTCTAGGTGCATGTGTAGAATCATGAATGTTGACATCAAGCCATATTTGGGGTGGTTGGGCATCCATATTCTTCAGAGAGGTCACAACAATTGGCTTTGTGAATAAGATTGTCTACACCATGACAGCAAATACTGGGGTCCTTCTTCTCTTACTTTGGCTTGCAAACTGGTTCTGCTACCTAGTAGCAAGCATGTACAATAAGCTTCTGCCTAATGGCTGGTGTGAGTTTGAGCTGTGCTGTTTTGTGCAACATTTCCTGGTTTTTACTGAGCCTCTCTTACAGATATAACTGACCTCAGTCATAAACTTTTATAATAAATTGTCATGTAAGAGCAGGAGTATGGGATTGGGACTCCCCTTAAAATGGCACTGGGTTATGTGTCTCAGCCCACATCTATTTGTGTATACTAGAATGAATCATGTCTCAATTCCAGCATAAGCTTCCATGGATGCTAAACTCAGAGGAATGACTCTTACCCTATGACTAACTGCATGTCTCAATCAAGCACTGCATCCCATTCTACAGAGTGCCCAGGGAAAGACTGCGCTGTGCAATACCAGGGCTCCTCAGGTGGTTGCTCATGTGGAGGAATTGTGGTCACAATTTGAAGAGCAGTTACTATTTGCAGATTAGAATTGTTGAGGTCCACACTCCTAAAATTCACATGGTTCTTTCAGACCCTATAAAATGCCTGGTTGCCGCTACCTCTGTTTAAAATGAAAATCCCGATCCTCAGGGTTATAGGAAAGAACACTCATATCACTCCTGTGGCAGAATCAAAAGGTAAATCTACCATGGATGAGGTCCCTAACCCTGGTGATACTAATTTGAAGCTCCCTGGAGGAAGAAATATATAAAGATGAGCATCACCGAGAGACACTTCCCCATCCCAAAGTGTATCTAGTAGCCACATAATAGAAAAAGACGAGAGAGATAGAGAGAAAACGAAGAAATGAATAAATCTGAATACAGAGGGGGGAAGCTAAAAGAAAATTTAAAAACCTGAAAGAGTGGCCCATAATTCAATTTCACTCAGTAGAATATCCAAAACTTACTAAATTGAATAAAATAATTTATACAGCAAAAATGATGCCGTTTCTTTGCACCTCTACAACGTAAGTCCTGAATTAACTTTAATATCTGCTGAAATTGATCAATTGGCCAATCTTAACAGCCTTAATCAATACTAGGACTCAAGTTATTAATAAACCTGGGGATCTCACTAAATTTTAACAAGTTACCCCTTATAATCTTATCAAATGTACAATAGATATTTGACTTACCTTAATTTAATGATCAAAACTGTTACCATGTTACAGTGACAAATTCCCTCTGGTCATCGCATGTATTGCCTTAAATTATCCCAGAGTGAACACAGATTCTAAGACCCCATGAGTAATAAGTTAAAATTAAATGAAATCTTTGGCACTTACAAATTGGTTTTTTAAATGTACCCTTATAAAAGCTCCCCACAGTTTAAATAGTAGTATCAGCCAATGTAATTTAATCAGAGTCTTCAAGGGTTGAAATCCATTATTTAAGAACTATTTAGAGGAGTAATTATTATAAGCTTTTGAATAGTTTCCATATATGACTTTCTTCCTTGCCCATAGAGGTTATACAAAATCTTCTTTTACTCAAAGTACAGCTATACCATTGTCCTTCACACCCAAACACCTTTCCTGACCACACATTTACACTCAAATGATTTCTCGAGTAACATTGATAACATGTCTTTGACTGTTCCTTATACAGTTATAATCCCTCTCTGCTTATGTGAATTATACCTTGCAGGTGGTTAACCCCATCATCTACTTGTCAGAATTCTATTTCCCGTGTATAATCTCCAGTTCAAATCTCAAACTCTTCTGTCTTTTTTTCTGGATTTTCTAAAATATCAGAATATCACTTTTTTATAGAACACTACATGGACACCATCTACAGCAACGACTTCATGCTAAAGACATGAATAGAATGTTTAATATTGCCTCTATATAGAAGCAGCACGAAATTGGTTTGGGAGAAGTTCCATCAATGTGCATGCATATAGTGTTTTGATTACAAAGTACTTTCATCTGCATCATCAATTTTTTGCCTGCAAAGGGCACATGAAGCATTATTCCATTTTACTACAGCTGGCAAGACTGAGATTCAGAGATATTAGGAGATTTATTCAAAACAGCAGGTGAACATATGCAAGAACCAAAACAACAATTTACTTCCCCCATTGTTTTTTTCCCCAGGATTCTTGCTACCACATCACCCAACTTTATAGTTTTATCTTTTTTCTCCATATGATTTTTACTACTTTACCACCTTGATTTACCTTAATGTTAAGTAGCGTTATTTAAGTCCACTCAGATATCTAAATTTCTACTGTGTTAGGTTGTAATGAAGATGTTACTAATTCTGAAACAGCTTAAGACCTGCAGAAACCAAATTTGACCTGAGCTATACAAAATAAGTGAATATCTAGATTTGGAAATTTAAAAAAACTACATGAATGAATGTACACTATGGTTGACATCTCTTAAAAATATAAAACCATTCTAGCTCAGATATAATTCAAAATGAAATATATAAAATATATAAAAGATAAGTGATTTTAATATTTTTAACTCAATTTAATATGATTATATCTGCCTGCAATAAAAGCCAAATAATTTTTTCTTCAAAGGGTTGTAGGTAATACAATTTTATTTTTATGTCACTTTAGTTGATTATAATGACAGACCCTACCATCGTTGCTTCAGAAAACTGGTCCCAGACTTTTGGATGCTCAACTATTGTAAATTTTGTGTTCTATTTTCTTTTGTTTTCTTCTCTTTCCATAGTTAATCACCTAAAAACTACAGTCTTCTTTCTTTTATTTCTCACTGTTCTCCACCATTCTTTATTTGCTTCTCTCCCTCCATCCTGACTCCATTCTCTCTCTCTCTCTCTCTCTCTCTCTCTCTCTCTCTCTCCTCTCTCTCTCTCTCTTCTTTTAAATTCATACTTGTTGCTGATGGGTAACTGTCTTAGTGTGGTCAGGCTGCTTTAACACAGTACCATATACTGAGTGGCTTAAACAACAGAAATTTATTTCTCACAATTCTGAGAAGTGGGATGTTTAAAATCAGGTGCTGGCCTATTCAGTTCCTGACGAAGCCTCTCTTCCTGGCTTGCAGAAGGCTGGCTTTTCACTCTATCCTCTCATAGCTACTCAGTGTGGGTATGAGTGAGCAGAGAGAAAGAGGTGATATCTCTAGCTCTCTCTTCTTATAAGGCCATTAAGCCACAATAGCATGCCTCAGTCTACCCTAATTACCTCCCAAATGTTCTATTTCCAAATATAATCACATTGGCATTTACAATTTCAACATATGAATTTTGGGCTGACACAAACATTCATTCCATAACAGAATAGAGCATATTGTTCTGGAAAATCTTTTCTCTCCACCACAGTCTTCTTTCTCTCAATAACTTCTACTCTACGTCTGTCTGCTGAAGTTGCAGTAGTATCTCCATAGCTACACATTCTATCGTTCTTTCTATACCCATGTCCTCATTCTAAGATTTGTTACTCACTCACATTTTTAAAGGTTCATTTAATTATCCTAATAATCTCATTGAACATGAAAAAATATTATTGTATCAGTTTTTTAAATGAGGTAACAAGTTTAGAAAGATTTACTTTTCCCATGTTTTGAAAAAATGATTTTTTTTAAAAAAAAGGGTTATAACTCAGGTTTCCTAACTCTTATTCAAGTATTTATTGATAAAGCTTATATCAATAACATTATCTGCACTCTGATTACTGTAACTTTTTAGGAGAGCTGTATGTCAAATCCAGTTCACTGACAAATGAAACACTAGGCATATTTATTCAAAAATATTTCTTGAGTATGAAAGTAATTAAAAAATTACTAATACTAAAGAAATCAAATTTGACCTGAACAAGTGAAAACTAGACTTTACATTTTCATTTTGAACTTTTTTTCTTTCTCAGATGTAATTAAACACATAGGATTTCTTTTAGCTCCTTAATATTGATTAATACAGATTTTCCTTCCCTTTCCTCAAATTTGCATAGTCACTTACTTGAAGCAAAAACGTTATTTAGAAACAATATTTCTTTTCCTGCAATTTGGTCACATATGCCTATGCATGGAGAAACACATTATAAGCATTTTCAGTAAATTGGGTCATCTAAAATCAAGAAATCTTTAAAACTTCAAAAGAAATTTCACATCAAATAACATTGACCTCCATTGTTTCTGATTTACTTATTTCTTCCTGATTTATGCTGATTATATGAATATAGGATTCTGGCTTTTTATGAGCCCAGAAAGTCAATAGAAAATGAGCATAAACTTTTATCTGTCTTGTTAAATTTCTGAAATAGCAGGAATTATCATCAATCTAACATTATCATCACTATGATTATTTGTAAGTTCAAATAAAATTATTGGAAAATATACACAGGATAATAATATGTAGAATAATACAAGTAACCTCTGAGTTTTATTTGCTTTTCCAAGAGTTTCCACGACATTAATTTCAGCAAACTATTCTTGGCTGCCTTTATGCATAAACTACTGGTTCCTCATAATGGCATATGGCATTTCAATTTCAAACCTGCCCTCAATAAACAGGATGAAGAATTACTGTGCTCATGTATAAACTGCTTTGTGACTCAATGTTTATCTACCATAATCAATAACACCCAAATTAAAAAAAAATCAAACTACATAAAAAGTAAAACAGTTTTATTTTATATGCTAAGCAATTTTTTTCCAAAGTAGAAAATATTATTAAAACAATAAGTGTCACAAGGCAAACTTCATTTTGCAAAAGCTATAATGTAAATTAAGCAATAAAGCATTCAACACACCTGCTTAGTTTCTAAAGATAATTTTGTTTGTTTATGAACTTATTGATTTCTTCAGATGTATAATCTAGTCTAGCCCCACTATTCATCAACTCTGACCTGTTCTCTGTAAACCATCAAATAATGTAATAGACATAATTTAGGAAAATATGTTATGCTCTAAAGTAGTATCTTCCTGTGTAAAGAAGCATCTAGAAAAATCGAGCAGTCCAAACAGCCTTTCAGCGTGATGTAGGTTAGCCAAATTGAAAAAAAAAATAAGTTGATTGAAATAAGAGCTTTGATGAATTATTTTTAAAATGAATTGTAATTTTTATTTTTGCATGATGTAAATTTGGAATACAACTTCTATATTCATCAGACTATTCTAGTCTTCACTTATCTTTTTCTAGTCTTTGAAATGAATATTTTCTATACTTTTAAAGATAATACTATGTGCAAATGCAGTGCAACACACATTTCATACATTATCTTTAATCCTTATGAGAATCCAACCAATTAGTTATTCTTTCACAGTGGAAAAAAAAACAAACAGGGAAGTAAATTTACCCAAGACCACACATACAGCCCACAACCCAGATCTGCCTCATCCTCAAACTCACACAGCTATTATTATGGCAATGGCATTAGAGATGAGGCTAAGGTTAAACAGGTCTTAGATGGGGATGATTATAATTATGGGTGAATCACATTCTTTCTAAGCATGTGCCTCCTGGCCAGAGATATTAGCTACCTAAAGGTTGGATGAGAGTAATACAGAGGTGAGATACGTACATCATTAATTTGGACCAGGGGATCTGACTAAGACTGACATGCTCACTAGAAGCAAAATAATGAATATTTGTGGCATTTGGGTAGAATTTTGATGTGTTCAGAGTATGGATGCCAAGACATATGTGTTAAATACTGGTAAGAGAAAGGTTTTTGGTGAATTCAACAACATATTAAAAGAATTAGTCACCATAATCAAGTGGGATTTAACCCTGAGATGCAAGCGTGGTTTAACATAAGCAAATCAATAAGCGTAACTGATCACATTAACAAAGGACAAAAACCATATCATTAGCTCAATAAATGCAGAAAGCGTTTGATAAAATTGAAAACTCTTGTGATAAACATAGTTTCAGGTAGACAAGAGGAATAAGTTTTGAGATCTATTGCATAGCAGGATGACTATAGCATATAATAATGCATTGTATGTTTCAAAATACTGAGAACAAATTTCAAATGTCTCACCACAAAAAAATAAAAAGTAAGCTAGGTGATGAGGTGATGGCTATTTTAATTAGCTTGATTTAGGCATGCCCATTGTATACATTTATCAAAATATCAAATTGTAAACAAATATATATATATAAATTATATAGACATAAATACATATAATTATGATCTGCAAATTTAAAATAATGTTAATTTCACACAAAAGATGGCCAAGACAAAGAAATAAAAACAAAGAGAGTTTTTATTTTTGTGTGAGTTTGTGCAGAGTTAAAGCTGACGAGTTCTTTCTCATTCCCTCTTGAATCTTGGGTCTACAGTGTCGTGTTTTTTATGAATCTCCCTGCCTATTCCTTCTTCTGTATTTTTCTCTCTCTTCTGCTCCTCATCCATGTGTCTTTTCTCTCTCCTCCATCTTTATTTCTTCTTGTCAATTTCTGCCTGCTGTCTTGTGACTTCACTATATTTTTTTCCTTCTCTTTTAAACCCCTCTCTCTTTCTGTAACATCAATGCTTGGAATCCCTGGAGTAGTATCACATCAATTCTTACAAGTTGCGAACCTCTTATTTGTTCTACTATTTTTGTGAGACATCATATAAAATAAGGTTGTCATTTAAGTGCTTTATGTAAAATATTAAATGTTGTTAAATGAGATAGGAAGGGATGGAGTAAAATTCAGTTGTATTTTTTTCTTAAGCACAGATTAAAACCTCCCTAGCTGTGAATTAGAAGTAAGCTGCTCAGATAGTGCAGGATTAACCATGAGATAGTATAGTGAGTGAATACATAGATCTGGAGCTGAATGTTGAATTTCTGAGTATGGTCTCAGTTTTCCAGCATATACGCTTCAGTTTCAATACCCATAATGTGGAAATAATAAAATCATTGACTGGATAAAATTATCAATGTAAAAGTGTTTATCATATGTGCATCATTCAGTGAAGCTTAGCTTTTATTATGACTATCACAACGACAGCCAAAATGTCAGGATCTATTTTTATACTGCTCCCATGAAGATAAATGCTATTCTTGATTTTGCTATCTACTAAAACATTTAGTAACACATTACCTAAGAATCCTTACTTTCCCTTATTCCGATGAAATTTAAAAAATGAAATTGGGGTTATCAAGATTTGTTAGCTGTATGGCTCTTCATTCAGTTGCTTATTAATCCAATAACAATTTTTTTGTTCTTTTTTGGAGACAGAGCTTTGCTCTGTCACCCAGGCTGGAGTGCAGCGGCGCGATCTCGGTTCACTCCAACCTCCACCTCCTGGGTTTAAGTAATTATGCCTGCCTCAGCCTCCTGAGTAGCTGGGATTACAGGTGCCCACCACCAAGACCGGCTAATTTTTGTTTTTTGTTTTTGTTGTTGTTGTTTTTTTTAGTAAATACTGGGTTTCACCATGTTGGCCAAGGCTGGTGTTGAACTCCTGACTTCAGGTGATCCACCTGCCTCGGCCTCCCAAAGTGCTGGGATTACAGGGCATGAGCCACTGCACCCAGCCTTAATCCAGTGAATATTTATTGAGTAGCTTCTATGTGTCTGGTATCCATTTAGCCTCTGGGACTGCAATGCTGAACAAACAAAACAACATTCCTTCCCTTATGGAACATACATTCTCATGGATGTGACAGAAATTGAACAAATACTGTATAGGATAACTGGACTGATAGAGACAAAAATCAAAATGTCATGATGCGGTATGATAGAGGTGTGATTTTCAATAGAAAGGGCAGAAAGAACCTATCTGAAGCAAGGATATTTGATCAGAGACATGACTGAGGTAATGGAATAAGAAACATGATGGTAATTCCTAGCACAGGGAATAGTAAGTGCAAAGGCTCTGGAGGGAGAGGTAGCCCTGGGAGTTTGCAGACGAGAAGAAGGAAGCCCCAAGGAGTGGAAGCAGATCCCCCTTGGGAAAGCTGTAGGAGATGATGCTTCCTGAGTTCAAACCAACATGGACCTGCAAGACCGTCTGGATCCTGTAAGCCACAGCCTGTTGGTTTTGATACTGTGTAGGATGGAAATAATTGGAGGTCTTGAGTAGGAAAATGGCTTGAATATATTCCTGCTGTGAAAGGCTCACACTGACTTCTGAAGAAGACAGGACAAGTTATTTAAACTCTCAGTTCTTACTTTCTTGCTTTTGAAATAGGAATCACAATATTGACCTAATGTGTCTCATGGTCACAGAATAAATTAGCACACATAATGCCCAACACATAAAATATATATATCTCGATAATATATATTTATTTTTCTGTGTTTTCTTCTGTAGAGTTAGATAAGACAATATTCGTATTTCTTTTAAAGTTAATTTCACCCATCAACCCTATTCTCTTAGTTTTGTCTTTTTCTACCTCTTTTGGGTTTTTCTTTTTCAAATGTTTTTATCTCCATTTTCTGTTTCTCTTCCAAATAGTTTATTCTTTCAGTTAGAAAGCATATATATGTCTTCTTACCTCAAATAAAAGTAGTTTTTCTTTAATCCTGGTATTTCCAATATCTCATCAGAATGTACCACTCTAGTTTTACACAAAATACTTTGAAAGTAATAGTCAATATATACTGCTTCAATTTCTTTCATACTTCATTTCTCCTTCATGTTTGTAGTCTGACATTTGTCACCTGAACCTCAGACCCTGCTTATTCTCCCCAGTAGACAGCAAGCAGAAGACTTGGATCATGAAGGCAAGGACATAATTCTGCTGATGCAGGTTCAAGAGTTACATGATTGCCAAGGCTTCTGAAAGCTGCAGATACATTTTTAAAAAATAGTCTATTTGTTATATTTCACCTTTGGAAAAGGCAACAGCATGGACAAAGTCCCAAATAACAAGTCAATAAAAATGATTTTAAAGAAGTGGAAATTCCCAGTTAAAAAATTCCCTACTGTGGGGGCTTCCTTTTATGGGATGATGGGGGAATGACTACGGAATTGCCTTTGCTGTAAAAAAAATTGACAAGTGGAAAAACTCTGTGGGAAAAACTCTTTTAAGATATTGGACAAGAGATATTGCCATATGTTGATCTATAATAAAATAAATAAATGAGGTGAGGCCTGTGATTACTGGATTTGTGTTCCTTAAGGTACTTTTTGAACTACAGCTCAGGGAGGGGGAACACAAGAGGGCATGGTGTTCTCAATGAGTTGAGAAGCCAGATCTCAGAATTAATGTAAGGAGGCGGAGGTAGCTACAATCAATTGGGAAGAGACTAGAAAGAAAGGAGCTATGCAGATAAAAAAGATACAGAAACCTGTAGAATGTTCCCCTTGAGTGCATTGCTTAATAAAAATGTATGCATGGTTAGGGTGAAAGATAACAGAGAAAGAAATGCCAGGAAGATGTAAAGAAATTAAAGCAATTCCTAGACTCATACAGGGCTAGGAGATAGGTGAGTGCTTACCAGAACAAGAGCAACATAAACTTATAATATCACAGTTCTATAGAGGCCCTGGGTAAAACTTACTTTCAATCTCATGCACATTATTAGCAGAATCTAATTTCCTTGCCAACTGTCATCTGGCGGCCACATTTCACCTCAAGAAGCCACATTCCAGTCCTTGCACATGGACCAGTTCTCAAAAACAGTGGTGGTGTTTCAAACCCTTATTGCTCTGGAAATCTCCATGAAATTCCAAGAGACAAGGGTCATGAGAGATTCTCCACATCTCTCTCTGCCTCCAGCCAAAGTTATTTGCTTTAAAAAACTGATACAGTGTAAGATCTCTAGATTGATAGATACAAACTGCAGAATATCATGATAGAATAAGATAGAGTGTGATTTTCAGCAGAAAGGGCAGAAAGAATCTCTGTGATGACATGACATTGATCAAAAACATGACTGAGGCAATGGAATAAGAAAACTCATCGTATTTAGATTAGATTGTGTCCAATCAGATAATATTCTATATAAAGTTCCCTGATGTTAATTACATCTACAAAGTCCCTTTTGTCAAATAATATAACATCTTCTTAGCTTCCAGTGGTCAGTATGTAAGCATTTATTTGGGAGGATAGTGGGGAGAGGGACATTATTTGGCTTACTACAGTGAAAAACAAATAAACTTAAATATTTGATTATTTTCTACATTTTACTCCCACTCTGAACACCCAAACAAGTAATAATTACAGCTAAATTATTGCTGAATTAAAAACCCATATAGAATATATCAATGATGCATTTCCATATATAAGAAAAATAGAGAAAAAACACACATTTTATAAAAAATGCAAATGTTAAATAAGATAATCCTTTGAAAACAACTTACTTGTATTTGAGACAGAAAATCAAACTCATTCTTTATTATTTGTTCTTGTTTTATATTCCAGAATCTAGAATATGTTTTAAAAAGCTGCCCTATTTGTCAATCTGTCATGAAATATATTTCAGCTTCAAGCCTCATGCTCCTGGGGAAATCACAAAACATCTCATTCGGCTGAAGAGGCTGAAACTCGAAGCAGTGCAATTAATATCCTCCATTTTTGCCATTGACACGAAAAGCAACTCCTTGGAATCTGAATCACTAATTGTGTCTAATAGCTTACATCTGGCTTGCACAAGTTCAACACATTAGGACATGGTTATGTGTTCTGATCACTGGGCACTGAGTGGACACATTCTAACCTGACCTTCAGAGGAGCTGCCACATTCTAACCTCAAGAAATAGAATATTCATGAATGAATGAAATCTGGCTTCAGGAAATTGTAGACACTCTTTCCACCAAATGCAGCTTTATTATAATGGTCAGTTTTGAATAAAATGATTGAAACACCATAAAAACAAAAATCTACCCTTGAGGCTGTCAAATGAAGTTTTGTTTTAAAATGTGAGATAAACAGGGTTGTTAAGCTGACTCACTTAATTTTGTGTGCCTGCTTTGGAAACTCAAGGGCCTTGAATGTACATATGAATTCTAATTGATATTTTTTAAAACCCTCATCTAAAATACAGTTCAGAACATATAAAAACTGTGCAGTGATCTGAGCCTCAGCCCCTCCAAATACTTCCTAGCAACTCGGAAAAAAAAAAAAAAACGTCCTGACGTTTATCTGAATGAGTGTCCCAGACCAGCCTATCATGAGATGGGCTCTTGGTTTATAACCTTCCCTTGAATAATAGAACTACGGCCTGGGAAGCTCCCATGCTACACGGCACATAAACCTCCTGCACTTTGGGAAGGAGTTGTCCAAACTAGGAACAGGCACAGCCTTTCACAAGAGTAAAGGACTTCTTTCTGCATTCGGCTTCTCTAAACATGTGCTCATAACAGCTTGGCTTCTCTTTCCTTCAGGACATTTTCTCTCTTGGTCCCTGGGTTCAGCTCTCACTATTTCCTATTAGCACTTTTGTTCTTGAAAGGAATAGAAAGAGAGCTCTTGGTACTGCAGTCTGTCACAAAATACATATGTTCAGCTATATAACAATACCTTTAAATATGGAGAACTCTCTGGACCTTAATTACTTTTCAAAATGGGGGTGGAAAGGTGCTAAAAGTTTTTAATGGTGAATTATTTGTTACTTTTATTGAAATATACAAAATGTAAATACCCAAAGGTAGATCAAAAAGACACTCAGGCACCAACATTTTAAAAAGGGGGGAAAAAAGAAACTTTTATAAATCAGTTAATATTTAGTGATATGGTTTGGCTGTGTCCCCCACCCAGATATCATCGTGAATTGTAGATCCCTTAATCCCCACTTGTCATGGGAGGGACCTGGTGGAAGGCACCTGGTGGAAGGCATGCATTTTTCCCAACAAAATTTATAATTATCCAAAAATTTGAATGCATGAAACCTACAAAAGTTTGAAATTTCTGATCATTTGAAAAAGCCAAGATAGTCCACTCATAACCTAAATTGAATAAACAAACTTTGAATTTTGCTATTACTTCAGCAAAAATACTTAAAATAAATTCCTATTTAATACATTTCAGCTAATAAAAACATATAAAGAACAGCACTCAGTGAGAAAGGAAACATGTTGGTAGTAGTATTACAGAGAATATAATACAGATCATAAAATATAAAAACTATAAAAATACTAGTTTGATATGTATACATGGAATAGAGTAAGGTGCAATGAACATTTCTTAAAATGTATACATTTCTGCACATTCGTTAAGAGAATCTACTTATTTGTATTTTCATAGCATTTATAACTTCCCTTGGATTTACTCTAATATTTGCATGATTATTTTCTCCTGAGAAGACTGTGAGCTCCTTAAAGGAAGGGGACATATTTTATTTGTTTGTATCTCCCTAGTATAGTATATAAAAGATGCTCTGTGAGAAGTTATCTAATTCACTTTGCATAAATTTGTGACCATTCATAAGTTTAATGCTTCAGTAATACAAAGCTTTAGGAGAAGATAAAATAATCTGATAAAATGGATACAAATCTATTCTTAAAAGTATTATTTCAGGAAATAATATTTTAAGATAATTGGGAAACATTTAAATATAAATTATTTAAATGAATATGAAAACAATTATATATCATTATTTGATTAGATCTCTATTGACTCTTTTTGCCAATAAGTTTAGGTTAATTTGAGTCGCTATGCCATTTATGCTGATGATATAGATTTAAATATTTTAAACATTTTGCATTATCATAAAATTTAGTTTTTCATCTTTTAAAATGATTTTAGCATCAAAATTCTATCATGAGCATAGTCACTGAATTCAATTAATCTTTTTTAAATGAATGAGAAAATGCATTTTGTAGTTTCAGGCATTCTTAGATGACCAGAAGTCAGGTCTTTGCTCTCCCTCAAGGTATTTTTGACTGTGGCTTTACTTTGGTGAGTAGAACCCCTTAACACAGCAGTCCCCAAACTTTTTGATACTAGGGACCAATTTCGTGAAAGACAATTTTTCCACAGATGGGTTGTGGGGGTGGATGGTTTGGGGATAAAACTGTTCCGTCTCAGATCAAAAGGTTCTGATCAAAGGTTTTGATCTCACACCAAAAGGTGTGTCCATCGCTGCTCCAGATGGTTGCTACCTGCAAGTGGATGATTAATGCTTTTGCCAAGACTGTTGTTACCAGCAGAAGGATTGATGAAGTCTCACTTGGTATCTCTAACTCTTTTTGTCTGCTCAGAAATGTGTACTATGTACACTCTTGAAGCTCACAGGAGTTTAGAAGCACAAAAGCTTATCTTTGGACTTTAGGGATGAGACTATTGCTTACTTTCTGGTGGAAAACAGTTTTCTCTAAAGAGATTGATAGAGAGAGGACAACTCAGGATGATTTCATCTCAGTATTTCTCTTACCTAAAACCTGTGAAACGAAACACACATCAGAATATCTTATTTAGGTGCAGGGTCCCTTAACGGAATCTACCATCATGTCATTTAAGCACCTCAGCCCAAACCCAGTCCTTGCTCATAAATGAAATCTAGAATTTTTGAGTCATAATCTTCTAGTCCTTGGACTACACATTAATTCAGTCTGATGTTTCTCTCAAAGTATGACTTACCAATATTTCCCATCATGATTTTCACACAGAATCAATCAGCAATTATGATGTGGGTTTTTCAAAAATCCCTTATTTGAAGCCCTGAAACTGGGTTATGAGTATATCCAAAGTTTTTTAGATTTTGAAAAGGTAATACAACCCATATGCTGCATACTACCCTTGAAGAGCCTGAGGCTACATCATGTAATGAAACACTTTGATATTTCTGTAGCAAAACATTTGAATATTCACATAAATAAAGAACACTTACAGTTTAATATCTTTCAGGTCAAGTTTTGTCCCCAAACAAGTTTATGCAGAACTTGTGGAAATATTTTAAGTTTTTGGAGTATTTTTCTGATTTTGGAATTGTGAATAATCAATTGTGGAACCATATTTTGACCTCTAATTTACTGTATTGAGGTTTTATTTTTTCCTCTGTTTTTTGGAAATAGATTATTTTATAGAAAATTACTTTATCATTGGATGTTAAAAATTCTAATGGGCACATAATACAGATACTACGCTGATACTAAAAGCCATACAAAACTACCTGGTAGAGTTTTTGGTGGTTGTTGCTGTTGTTACAGAGTTTGAAAAACACTAATCATAAGTTTCCTGGCACATGTTTAGGCAAATAAGAATTGTTACTAAAAATAGATTTCTACGAAAAGATGTGCAACTTCCACAAAATCAAGGTGAACATTTATGCTGCATTATGAACACAACTGAATACCTCTTTGGATAAAAATCACAAGTCGGTACTATAGGCCAAGTCAATTTACTAAGTCACAAAAGAAGAAATAAATAATGTGATGTCATTTCCTAACTCATTTAAACATATACACAGTATCCAGATTCACTGTGTTCAGCTCTGAAAGCTAGTTATTGTCAAAGAGGTGGTGACATTCTCCTCAGGATCCAATTTCTATGGCATTACTAATCCTTCGTAATGTATTCATCCTCAAGGAGAAACAAAAAGGCAGTCTCATGGCTTTGTGACAGTCTAAATTATTCTTGTCCTGTGTTCCTTGTATGTATCTGATTGCATTTCTAAACTCCCATTCATCTTGTCCTATTTTTTCCTCGTATCAAGAGTGGGTATGTTAAGGTTCTTTTTAATATTTTGTAGAATTTAAGGTTTCTTATGTAAAATAAAGATAAACTTCAAATACTTTGTGGGCCATGAGTTTTAGCTGAAAAGATATTTTCAATAAAAGTATGTGAATGTATCCATTGTATTCAGGATGATTTAATGTAATCAATATTGAATTCAAGAATATGTAATGTGATGACACTGCTTTGATATGTACACTCATAAAAAATATAAATATTACTTATACCTTTTTGGGTCACCATTAATATCACTATTATTTAAGTACAGTCCAGGTGTTATTTAATTAAGAAAAAGATAGTTTACTGGTCTTTGTGGGGGACAATGTTGAAATCAGATGTGTGTGTGTGTTTGTGTGTATGCCTGTGTACATGTCTGTGTTTATGTTCTTCAGATAAAATCAGCAATTTTATCTCTTGTAAGAGGTTCTGTCTATAAAGAAATATATAGAACACTTTACACAGAAAAGATACTATTTCATCATGTTCACTCTTTGTCCTAAGAACATATTTTTATAAGCTTTTCATGTGTGAAGCAACACAAAACGTCAGTTAAGGAGACAGACTAAAAATCTGATGATACTCTATAATCACTGAGTGTTAGATATAAAAGGAACTTGATAACCTAATAAATTTTAACCAACAGCTTGGGGCTTTCAAACTACATGGCTGTTAAAATCTTGCTTGAAAAATTTAATTAAGAAAAACTTCATTAAAATTTATTTTTCATTTTGTATGCCCAACAGTTGAAATATAATTTCCTAAAAATACATGCACTGTACAATTTTCTTACTAGCTTAATACATCAAGTTGTTCTCACTATTTGCTTTGCTACCTTGTTTAAAAATATGAAGTACTCCCTAGACTTTGCCTCTCTTCTTCTTCCCAATGTCTTATTAATATTATATATAAAATATGATACCTATATATATTCCATAATATATATCCTCCATACATATACAGATATATATGTCCTTCAATGAGCACATTTTAATATGTCAATATGCAAAAATATGCCCCCTTCATTCAACAAAGTAAAGGAAAACCTCAAGGTAAGTCTCTTCCCTTGTCTGAATGTTAGATTTCTGCAGTTGTACCCTAACATCTCACACATTGACTAACTAATTGTAGGGGCTAAAAAGTACTTTTAGCTGGAAAGTCAAAGTATGGAGTGACACAGATCTGAAGTCAGTTGTAATTAAATGGTCTTTAAAACAGAAAATATTGACAATCCTAATCTGTCCCAAAACCCATGTTTTTAGAATGCCATTTTACATGTGTATCTACATACGTAA